>NC_000005.10:85261322-85564352 GCF_000001405.40 Homo sapiens | reverse complement strand
ATTGTTTGCTGGACATAAAGTTAAAACAGATCTTTCCAAGATTAACATTAAAAGCATGGTCAAAAAATTCTTAAGCATAAATTTTAATTTAAAATTTACTCCCAGGTGGCCAGGCATGGTTGCTCACACCTGTAATCCCAGCACCTTGGGAGGCTGAGGTGGGCAGATCATGAGGTCAAGAGATCAAGACCATTCTGGCCAACATGGTGAAACCCCGTCTCTACTAAAAATACAAAAAATTAGCTGGGCATTGTGGTGTGTGTGCCTGTAGTCCCAGCTACTCGGGAGGCTCAGGCAGGAGAATCGCTTGAACCTGGGAGGCAGAGGTTGCAGTGAGTCGAGATTGCACCACTGCACTCCAGCCTGGTGACAGAGCGAGACTCCATCTTAAAAAGCAAACAAACAAACAAACAAACAAAAAAATTACTCCCAGGTAACTCACAAAAACCAAAAAAAAAAAAAAAATCTTCCTAAAAGAAACTCTATTTCAGTCCAGGCCAACAGAGTTTTAGGCTTTCACGAATTTAAATATTTTATATGTGCTATGAAAGAAAGTTTACTGCTGTTATGAAAGCTATAGAATTCACTAAACATTATGTAACTGATACTATTATAACAATATGTCTCAGAAACCTTAATTTTTTCTTTAGAATAACATATAAAATATATAGTAAATATGTCTGGACTACTTTGGGGAAATAATAGATTATGTTATTCTAAAGAAAGAATTATGGTTTCTGAGATTCAAAAAACCCAAATACTTAAAATTCAGAAGAAATTTTTTCAAACTGCAAACAACTATATGCTTAATATAAATAAGGTCTTGATATTTAATTATATTTTATTCCAGCAGAAAAAAATATGTGAGTTATATTATTTAGAATTGGCATGGTATCTAAATAGAATAGCAAGAAAGATTAAATATATTGTAATTTAAAATACAGAAAAAGTTTTAATCTAAACAGCAATAGTAGCTGGAGCTTGAGCTTCGGTCTGTGACCTTCAGTTATTCTTGACTAAGGTGTACATGAAAGAAAATGTATATTTTTTTTTAGTTATTTTTCACTTAAATGTCTATAAGAACAGAAACCCAGAGAAAAGTTAAAAATCTTATTTTCATATGCATTTAAAAAAAATTATTCCTCAGATCCACTTTATAGGAGAGAGATAAAAATCAAGATAATTATCTTCTGGCATTCATAGCATTTTTTTGTTTTAGACATATTGTTATAATAGTATCAGTTACATAACGTTTAGTGAATGCTATAGCTTTCGTAACATCAGTAAACTTTCTTTCATAGCACATATAAAATATTTAAATATTTTCTGCATATATTTGTCTAATGTTAGTCTCACATAGTAAGTATTACATTGGTGAAGGTACATAGATGTCAATATTTGTACTTTGCCATAATATCTATACTGAGCATACCTCCTGAATATTGGTAGATAGAATATATCATGGCTTATACCCCTTTATACAATTTAATGCTTAGTTTTTCTTTGTTTAATTCTGCCATTAGTATTGTTATTAATGATTTTCATACTTTTATGATCTTAACACAATTTCTGTTACTTTCAGTATTTTCTGCTTTTTTTCTTGTCTTTTCTACAGAGAAATATATTTGTATTGGTTTTGGTCTTATAAATAATATTTTGGTCTTATAAATAATAATTTCTGTTTTCTAAAAAAATTTAATTAGTTTATATTTTTATAATAGATGTTTTCGATCATTTAGTTTTCTTTCTGTTTCTGTGGGTGCTTATGCTGGTAATAGTAGTAATTAATATTTTCTTGATACTTTCATCAAGAAAGACAGCATAACATAGTGTTTAATAAGTCAAATCGCATCACATTATTGATTTCACCATTTAATACATGTACTACCATGGTCAAATTAATTTATCAGTTTTGCATTTGTTTCTTGACTTGTTTTTTGACTTTGTTTCTTGACAAAGAAGCAATGATAACATAATATATGGTGAAGATCAGTTTAGTTTTTTTGATACATAATAGTTGTACATATTTATGGGGTACATGTAATATTTTGATACATGCTAGAATGTATAATGACCAAGCCAGGGTAACTGGGATGTTTGTCACCTCAAACACTTATCATTTATTTGTGTTGGGAGTATCTCAAGTCTTTCCTTCCAGCCATTTTGAAATATACAATAATATTTTTCTTTATTTCTTCTAAAAAAAAATAAAAACAGGATACATGTGCAGAATGTGCAGGTTTGTTACATACGTATACATGCTCCATGATGGTTTTTTGCACCTATTGACCCATCCTCTAAGTTCCCTTCCCTCACTTGCTACCCCCCAACAGGCCCTGGTGTGTGTTGTTTCCCTCTCTGTGTCCATGTGTTCTTAATGTTCAGATCCCACTTATGAGTGAGAACATGCAGTGTCTGGTTTTCTGTTCCTGTGTTAGATTGCTGAGAATGATGGCTTCCAGCTTCATGCATGTCCCTTCAAAGGACATGATCTCATTCATTTTTATGGCTGCATAGTATTCCATGGTGGATGTATGTCACACTTTATTTATCCAGTCAATCACTGATGGGCATTTCGGTTGGTTCCATGTCTTTGCTATTGTAAATAGTGTTGCAATAAACATACATGTGCATATTTCTTTATAATAGAATGATTTATATTCCTTTGGATATATACCCAGTAATGGGATTGCTGGGTCAAATGGTATTTCTGGCTCTATATCCTCGAGGAATCACCATACTGTCTTCCACAATAGTTGAACTAATTTACTTTCCCACCAACATTGTAAAAGCATTTATATCTCTCCATAGCCTCGCCAGCATCTATTGTTTCCTGATGTTTCAATAATTGCCATTCTGACTGGCGTGAGATGGTATCTCATTGTGGTTTCGATTTGCATTTCTCTGATGATCAATGATGTCGATCATGTTTGTTGGCCACATAAATGTCTTTTTTTTTCAGAAGTGTCTGTTCATATACTTTGCCCACTTTTTGATGGGGTCGTCTGTTTCTTCTTGTAAATATGTTTATGTTCCTAGTAAATTTTGGATATTAGACCTTCGTAAGATGGGTAAATTGCAAAAATTTTCTCCCATTCTGTAGGTTGCCTGTTCACTCTGATGATAGTTTCTTTTACTGTGCAGAAACTCTTTATTTTATCTAGATTGCTTTTGTCAATTTTGGCTTTTGTTGCAATTGCTTTTGCTGTTTCATTCATGAAGTCTTTGCACATGCCTATGTCCTGAATGGTATTGCCCAGGTTTTCTTCCACGGTTTTTATGATTTTATGTTTTACATTTAAGTCTTTAATCCATGTTGAGTTAATTTTTGTATTAAGTGTAAGGAAGGGGTCCAGTTTCAGTTTTCTGCATGTGGCTAGCCAGTTTTCCCAGCACCATTTATTGAATAGGAGATCCATTCCCCATTGCTTGTTTTTGTCAGGTTTGTCAAAGATCAGATAATTGGAAATGTGTGGTGTTGTGCTATTTCTAAGGTCTCTGTTCTGCTACATTGGTCTATATGTCTGTTTTGGTACCAGTACCATGCTGTTTTGGTTACTGTAGCCTTGTAGTATAGTTTGAAGTCAGGTAGTGTGATGCCCCCAGCTTTGTTCTTATGGCTTAGGATTGTCTTGGCTATACTAGGTCTTATTTGATTCCATGTAAAATTTAAAATACTTTTTTTCTAATTCTGTGAAGAATGTCAATGGTAGTTTGATAGGAATAGCATTGAATCTATAAATTACTTTGGGCATTATGGCTATTTTCATGATATTGATTCTTCCTATCCATGAGCATGAAATGTCTTTCCATTTGTGTCCTCTCTTATTTCCTTGAGCAATGGTTTACAGTTTTCCTAGAAGAGGTCCTTCATGTCCCTTGTTAGCTGTATGGTATTTTATTCTCTTTGTAGCAACTGTGAATGGGAGTTCATTCATGACTTGGCTCTCTGCTTGCCTATTGTTGGTGTAAAGGAATATTGTGATTTTTGCACATTGATTTTTTATCCTGAGACTTTGCTGAAATTGCTTATTAGTTCAAGAAGTTTTTGGGCTGAGATGATGGGATTTTCTAAATATAAAATTATGTCATCTGCAAATAGAGACAATTTGACTTCCTCTCTTCCTATTTGAATCACTTTATTTCTTTCTCTTGCCTGATTGCACTGGCCAAAACTTCCAGTACTATGTTGAATAGGAGTGGTGAGAGAGGGCATCCTTGTCTTGTGCCAATTTTCAAAGGGGATGCTTCCAGCTTTTGCCTATTCAATATGATATTGGCTATTAGTTTTCATAAATAGCTCTTATTATTTTGGGATATGTTCCATCAATACCTAGTTTATTGAGAGTTTTTAACATGAAGAGATGTTGAAATTTATCAAAGGTGTTTTTTGCATCTATTGACATAATTGTCAATAGATTTTTCTTGTCTTTGTTTCTGTTTACGTGATGGATTACATTGATTGATTCCCATGTGTTGAACCAGCCTTGCATCCCAGGGGTGAAGTCAACTTGGTTGCGGGGATAAGTTTTTTATGTGCTGCTGGATTTGGTTTGCCATTATTTTATTGAGGATTTTCGCATCAATGTTCATCAGGGATATTGGCCTTAAGTTTTCCTTTTTAGTTGTGTCTCTTCCCAGTTTCGGTATCAGGATGATGCTGGCTTCATAAAATGAGTTAAGGGGGATTCCTTCCTTTTCAATTGTTTGGAATAGTTTCAAAAGGAATGGTACCAGCTACTGTTTGTATTTCTGGTAGTATTCTGCTGTGAATTCATCTGGTCCAGGGCTTCTTTTTGTTGGTAGGTTATTAATTACTGCCTCAATTTCAGAGATTGTTATTTGTCTATTCAGAGATTCAGCTTCTTCCTGATTTAGTCTTGGTAGGGTGTATGCATCCAGGAATTTATCCATTTTTTTTCTAGTTTTTCTAGTTTATTTGCATAGAGGTATTTATAGTATTCTCTGATGGTAGTTTGTATTTCTGTGGGGTCAGTGGTGATATCCCTTTTATCATTTTTATTGTGTCTATTTGATTCTTCTCTCTCTTCTTCTTTATTAGTCTAGCTAGTCGTATATCTATTTTGTTAATTTTTTCAAAAAACCAGCCCCTGGATTTATTGATTTTTTGCAGGTTTTTTTGTTTGTCTTTATCTCCTTCACTTCTTCTCTGATCTTAGATCTTTCTGGTCTTCTGCTAGCTTTTGGGTTAATTTGCTCTTGCATCTCTAGCTCTTTTAATTGTGATGTTAAGGTGTCAATTTGAGATCTTTCCAGCTTTCTGATGTGGACATTTAGTGCTATAAATTTCCCTCTTAACACTGCTTTAGCTGTTTCCCAGAGATTCTGGTACATTGTCTCTTTGTTTTCACTGGTTTCAAAGAACTTCTTGAATTCTGCCTTAATTTCATTATTTACCCAAGAGTCATTCAGGAGCAGGTTGTTGAATTTCCACTAAATTGTGTGGTTTTGAGTGAGTTTCTTAATCCTGAGTTTTAATTTCATTGCACTGTGGTCTGAGAGACTGTTATGATTTCGGTTATTTTGAATTTGCTAAGGAGTGTTTTACTTCCAATTATGTAGTTGATTTCAGAGTAAGTGCCATGTGGCACTGAGAAGAATGTATATTCTGTTGATTTGGGTAGAGAGTTCTGTAGACATCTACGAGGTCCACTCTTGATCCAGAGCTGAGTTCAAGTCTTGAATATCCTTGTTAATTTTCTGTCTCATTGATCTGTGTAATACTGACAGTGGGGTGTTAAAGTCTCCACTTTTAATATGTGGGAGTCTAAGTCTCTTTGTAGGTGTCCAAAAGCTTGTTTTATTAATCTGGGTGCTCCTGTATTGGATGCATATATATTTAAAATAGTTAGCTGGCTCATCTTGTTGAATTGTTCCCTTTATCATTATGTAATGCCTCTCTTTGTCTTTTTTGATATTTGTTGGTTTAAAGTCTGTTTTGTCAGAGATTGATATTGCAACCTCTGCTTTTTTTTTGCTTTCTATTTGCTTGCTAAATTTTCCTCCATCCCTTTATTTTGAGCCTGTGTGTGTCATTGCATGTAAGATGGGTCTCCTGAATACAGCACACTAATGGGTCTTGACTCCTTATCCAATCTGCCAGTCTGTGTCTTTTTATTGAGGGCATTTAGCCCATTTACATTTAAGGTTAGTATTGTTATGTGTGAATTTGCTCCTGTAATAATGATGCTATTTGGTTATTTTGCACATTAGTTGATGCAGTTTCTTCATAATGTCATCAGTCTTTAGATTTTGGTGTGTTTTTGCTGTGGCTGGTACCAGTTTTTCCTTTTCATGTTTAGTGCTTCTTTCAGGAGCTCTCACAGGGTAGGCTTGGTGGCAATGAAATCACTCAGCATTTGCTTGTCTGGAAAGGATTTTATTTCTCCTTCACTTATGAAGCTTAGTTTGGCTGGATATGAAATTCTGGGTTGAAAATTCTTTTCCTTAAGAATGTTGAACATTGGCTCCAAATCTCTTCTGGTTTGTAGAGTTTCTGCTGAGAGGTCTGCTGTTAGTCTGATTGGCTTCCCTTTGTAGGTGACCTGGCCTTATTTATTTTTCTGGCTGCCCTTAACAGTTTTTCCTTATTTTGACCTTGGAGAACCTGATGATTACATGTCCTGGGGTTGATCTTCTCTTGGAGTATCTTAATGGTGTTCTCTGTATTTCCTGAATTTGCATGTTGGCCTGTCTTGCTAGTTGGGGAAGGTCTCCTAGATAGTATCCTGAAGTGTGTTTTCCAGATTGTTTCCATTCTCCCCATCTGCTTCGGATACTCCAATCAATCATAGGTTTGGTCTTCTGATGAAGTCCCATATTTCTTAGAGGCTTTGTTCATTGTTTTTCATTATTTTTTTTCTATGCTTGTCTGCATGTCTTATTTCTGTGAGTTGGTCTTCAAACTCTGATGCCCTTTCTTCTGCTTGGTCAATTAAGCTGTTGATACTTGTGTATGATTCATAAAGTTTTTGTGCTGTGTTTTTCACCTCCATCAGTTCATTTATGTTCCTTTCTAAAGTAGCTATTCTAGTAAGCAATTCCTCTAACCTTTTATCAAGGGTCTTAGCTTCTTTGCATTGTCTTAGAACATGCTCCTTGAGCTCAGTATAGTTTTTTTATTACCCATCTCCTGAAGCCTACTTCTGTCAATTCATCCATCTGATCCTTCATCCAGTTCTACCTTCTTGATGGAGAGGCGTTGCAATGATTTGGATAAGAAGAAGCATTCTGGCCTTTTGGGTTTTCAGCATTTTTTCATTGATTCTTTCTCGCCTTCATGAGTTTGTCTAGTTTTGGTCTTTCAGGCTGCTGATCTTTGGATGGGGTTTTTGTGGAGGAGGCCCTTTTTGTTGTTGTTGTTGATGCTGTTGTTGTTGCTTTCTGCTTGTTTTTATTTTCCTTCAATAGTCAGGTCCCTCTTCTGTAGGGCAGCTGCAGTTTGCTGGGGGTTCACTTCAGGCCCCATTTATCTGATGTCACCTAAGGAGGCTGGAGAACAGCAAAAATGGGTGCCATCTCCTTCCTCTGGGATCTGACCTCAAGAGACACCTGAGGAGGCACTCTGACTGCCACAGCTGGGTGTTGGGCTGTGGGAACAAGTCTTGGGACCAGGCCTTCCAGCCTCCCTGGCTCCAACAGGGGAAAAATGCAGCCTGGAACTATAGAAATGGGTGCCGCCCTTCCCCCGCCCAGGGATCTTAGCATGTTAGGCAGTTTTAAGTCCCAGCGCTGTCTGCTGCCCCTCCCTCAAGGATCTCAAATGGCTTGGACAGCAGGCAGCCATAGTGGGTGCTGGTCACCCCTTCCCCTGGGAGTTCAGTAGGCTTAAGCAGATTCCAGCTGAAAGGCTGCAAGAATTTGTGCATTTCGGGGTTGGGACACCAGGCCCCAGTGGCATGGATTCATGAGTGGGATCTTTTGATCCGTTAGCTGCGCAGTTCCATGGAAAAAGCAGTTTCCCCTGTTGAGTAGTAGGCTCACTCATACCTCTGTTGGCTAGAGGCAGGGGTTTCCCCTTCCCCAGGTGGCTCTCAGGTGGTCCATTGCACCACACTGTTCTTCCTTCTCTCCATGAGTCACTCCAGCCTTCTAGTCAATTTTGATGTGACAACCCAAATACCCTGGTTACTGGTGAAAGATTCACAGGCTTATTATGATTTTTTTGGGTGGGAACGTCTGAAAGCCACTGCTTCTAGTCGGCCATCTTAGTCCCACCCCATACAATACATTTTTGTAGCTATAGTTGCCCTACTATGTTATTGAACCCTAGAACTTTTTTCTCCTATTTAACTGCATTTTTGTACACATTAATCAATCTTTTTCCATACCTGCTTCCTTCTTACCCTTCCCAGCCTCAGGTAACAACTATTCTACTCACTATGTCTATAAAATCAATTGTTATGGTTCCCACATATGAGTCAGAACATACAATATTTTTCTTTCTGTGCCTGGTTTATTTCACTTATAATGTTCACCAGTTCCATCTGTGTTACTGCAAAATAGGATTTTCTTTTTTATGACTTAATAGTATTTCACTCTCTCTCTCTCTCTCTCTCTCTCTCTCTATATATATATATATATATAGAAAATGTATATATAACACATTTTCTTTATCTATTCATCTGTTGATGCACACAGGTGGATTGATTATCTTGGCTATTATAAATAGTGCTGCAATAAGCAAGAGAGTGCAGATCTCTTTGATATACTGACTTTCTTTCAGATTTATATATGCAGCAGTGGAATTGCTGGATCATATGGTAGTTCTATTTTTAGTTTTTTGAGAAAGCTTCACATTCTTTGTCTTAATGGCTGTACTAATTTACATTCCCACCAAAAACATTTAAGAGTTTATTCTTCTTTGCATCCTCACCAGCATGTTATTTTTTTGTTTATTTATTTTTATAATAGCCATTATAACTAGGGTGAGATGACATCTGATTTAGATTTTGATTTGCATTTACTTCATGATTGGTGATGTTCAGCAATTTTAAATATCTGTTGAACATTTATGTGACTTCTTTCAAGAAATGTATATTAAGCTCTTTGACTCATTTTAAATTGAATTATTTGAATTTTATTTTGCTATTTATTTGAATTTCATATGTATTTTGTTTGTTTTTCCTGTTTAGTTGTTTCAGTTCTTTATATATTCTGTTATTAATCCCTAGTCAGATGGATAGATTGTCAATATTTTTCCATTGTGTATGTTGTCGCTTCACGTTGTTGATGGCTTCTTTTGCTGTGCAGCTTTTTAGCTTGATGTAACCCATTTATCAATTTTTGCTTTTGTTTCATATATTACATTTAAGTCTTTAATCCATGTCAAGTTTATTTTTGTATATAGTGAGTGATATGGGTTGGCTCTGTATCCCCACCCAAATCTCATCTCAAATTGTAATCCCCACATTCCAGGGAAGGGGCCTAGTGGGAGGTGATTGAATCATGGGAGAATTCTCACTTCCTGTTCTTGTGATAGTGAGTGAGCTCTTGTAAGATCTGATTGTTTGAAAGTGTGTGGCACTTTCCCCCTCTACTCTCTCTCTCTCCTGCTGCCATGTGAATAGGGTATTTTCTTCCCCTTCACCTTCCATCATGATTGTAAGTTTCCTGACACCTCCCAATCATGTCTCCTCTTAAACCTGTGGAACTGTGAGTAAATTAAACCTCTATTATTCATAAATTACCCATTATCAGTTCTTTATACCAGTGTAAAAACAGACTTATACAGAAAATTGGTACCAGGAGAGTGGAACACTGCTTTAAAGATACCTGAAAATGAGAATGCAACTTTGGAACTGGGTAAGAGGTAGACAGTGGAACAGTTTGGAGGGCTCAGAAGAAGATAAGAAGATGTAGGAAAATTTGGAACTTTCTAGAGACTTGTTGAATGGTTTTGACCAAAATGCTAATAGTAATATGGACAATAAAGTCCAGGCTGAGGAGTTGTCACATGGAGATGAGGAATTTATTAGAAACTGGAATAAATGTCACTCTCTCTATGATTAAGCAAAGATACTGGCAGTATTTTGCCCCTGCCTTAGAGATCTGTGTAACTATGAACTGGAGGGAAATGATATAGACTATCTAGCAGAAGAAATGTCTAAGGAGCAAAACATTCAAGTTGTGGCCTGTCTGCTCCTAACAGCATATAGTCATATGTGTTCACAAAGATATGATCTGAAATTGGGACTTATGTTTAAAGAGAAGCAAAGTATAAAATTTTGGAAAATTTGCACCCGACCATGTGGTAGAAATGAAAACTCATTTTCTGGAGAGAAATTCAAGCCTGCTGCAGAAATTTGCATCAGTATAGAGAAGCCTAATGTTAATAGCAAAGACAATAGAGTAAATGTCTCCAGGGCATTTCAGAGATTTTCACAGCACCGCTTCTCATCATAGGATTGAAGGTTTAAAAGGGAAAATGGTTTTGTGTGGCCAGGCCCAGAGCCTTGCTGCTCTGTGCAGCCTTGGGACATGGTACTCTGCATCCCAACCACTTCAGCTCCAACTCTGGCTGAAAGGGGCAAAGGTACAGCTTAGGCCATGGCTTCAGAGGGTGCAAGCCAAAAGCCTTGGTGGCTTCCATGTGGTGTTGAACCTGTGAGTGCACACAAGGCAAGAATTGAGGTTTGGGAACCTCCATCTAGATTTCAGAGGATGTATGGAAATACCTCATGTCCAGACAGAAGTCTGCTACAGAGTCAGAGCCCTCATGGAGTACTTCTACTAGGGCAGTACAGAGAGAAAATGTGGGTTTGGAGTCCCCACACAGAGTCCTCATTGGGACACTGCCTAGTAGAGCTGTGAGGAGAGCACAACTGTCCTCTAGACTCTAGAATGGAGCTGCATCATGTGTCTGGAAAAGCTGCAGGCATTCAAAGCCAGCCCATGAAAGCAGCCACAGGGGCTGTACCCTGCAGAGCTATAAGAGCAGAGCTGCCCAAGGTCTTGGTAGCCCACTCCTTGCATCAGCATGCCCAGGATGTAAGACATGGAGTCAAATAAGATTATTTTGGAGCTTTAAGATTTAATAATTGCCCTGCTGGGTTTCAGACTTGCATGGGGTCTGTAGGCCCTTTGTTTAGGCCAATTTCTCCCTTTTGGAATGGGAACAATTACTCAATATTTGTACTTCCATTGGATCTTGGAAGTAACTAATTTCTTTTTTTATTTTACAGGCTCATAGGCAGAAAGGACTTATGTTGTCTCAGATGAGATTTTGGACTGGAATTTTCAGTTAATGCTGAAATGAGTTAAGACTTTGGGGAACTGTTGGGAAGGCATGATTGTATTTTAAAATGTAAGAAAGACATAAGATTTGGGAGGGACCAGAGGTGGATTGATATAGTTTGGCTCTGTGTCCCCACCCAAATTTTAGCTCAAATTGTAACCCCCATATTTTGGGGAAGGGGCCTATTGAGAGGTGATTGAATCATGGGGGCAGAATTCCCCCTTGCTGTCCTCATGAAAGTGAGTGAGTTTTCATGAGATCTGGTTGTTTGAAAGTGTGTGGCACTTCCTTTTCCACTCTCTCTCTCTCCTGCCACCATGTGAAGAAGGTATTCCTTCCCCTTTGCTTTCTGCCGTGATTGTACGTTTCCTGTGGACTCCCAGTCACATATCCTGTTAAGCCTGCAGAACTGTGAGTCAATTAAACATTTTTTTCTTCATAAATTACCCAGTTTCTGATAGTTCCTTATAGCAATATAAAAATGGACTAATACAGTGAGAGATAGTAGTCCAGTTTCATTCTTCTGTACATGGATATTCAGTTTTCCCAGAACCATTTATTGGATAGATTTTCCTTTCCCCATAGTATGTTCTTGGTGCCTTTTGTAAAAATGAGTTGGCTGCAAATGAATGGATTCATTTCTGAGTTATCTATTCTGTTTCATTGGTCTTTGTGCCTGTTTTCATACCAGTACCTTTCTGTTTTGATTAGTATAGCTCTGTAGTATATTTTGAAGTCTGTTAGTATAATACCTCCAGCTTTGCTATTTTTGCTAAGGGTTGCTTTGACTTTTCAAGTATTTCATGGTTTTATACAAAATTTATGATTTTTTTCACTTCTAAGAAGAATCTTATTGCTATTCTGATAGGGATTACATTGAAAATGTAGATCATTTTGGATATTATGGACATTTTAACAGTATTATTTTTTCCAATCCATGAACATGGAACAGCTTTCTACCTTTTTGTGTCCTCTTCAATTTCTTTTACTGATGTTCTATAGTTTTTATTCAAAGATCTTTTAATTCTTTGGTTACATTTATTCCTAAGTACATTTTGTCGCTATTGTAAATAGAATTGCTTTCTTAACTTTTTTTCCAGATTGTTTGCTGCGACTTACACTACTGATTTGTACATGTTAATTTTGTATCTTGTAACTTTATTGAATTCATGTATCAGTTCTAAGATTATTTAGGTGGAGTCTTTCATTTTTCCTAAATATAAGATCATAGTGTCTGCACACAGGGAACAATTGAATTCTATCTTTCCAATTTTGATGCCCTTTATTTGTTTCCCTTATCTAATTGCTCTGCCTAGGACTTTCAGTACTGTACTGAATAAAAAATGATAAAAGCAGGCTTCCTCACCTTGTTGTAAATCTTAAAGAAAAACTCATTTTTTTCTCAATATAATGTTAGCTATAGGCTTGTCATATATGACCTTCATTATTTTGAGATATGTTCCTTCTATACCCAGTTTTTTAGCGTTTTTTAATTATAAAAGGATGTTTAATTTTCTCAAATCCGTTGTTAGCATCTACTGAGATTATTATTTGAATTTTTTTTTTGACTACTAATTCAATGTATCACATTTTCTTTCATGTGTATTGATCACTCATCTATGGGATGTTTTACACTTTATCATGGTGAATGATCTTTTAAATGTGTTGTTGAATTCAGTGTGCAAGTATTTTGTGCAAGATTTTCATCTGTGTTCATCAGTGATGTTGATGTTTAGTTTTCTATTTTTGTTGCGTCTTTGGTTTTGGTATCAGGAAAATGTTGGCCTCATAAAATGAGTTGAAAAGATTCCCTCCTTTTCAATTTTCTTGAAAAGTTAGAGTTGAATTTATATTAGTTCTTCTTTGAGTGATTGTTAGAATTCAGCAGTGTAGTCATCAGTTCTTGGGCTTTTCTTTAATGTGAAAATTTTTAATAAAATTTTATTTTGTTCCGGAAAGTTTTTTTTTAAATTTATCCTTCATATTTAAAGGCTAGCTCTGCTAGGTACAGTATTTTTTGGTTTTTAGTTTATTTTTCTTCAGCAGTTTAAATATTTCATTCTCCCTTTTGACCCATAGCATTTCCACCAAGAAGTCTGCTGCCAGTTTTTTCTGAATTCCTTTATATTTGCTTTTTTTCTCTTGCTTCTTTTAGTATCCTTTCTTTTTCATTGACCATTGAGAGTTTGACACCTTAGAGTTGTCTTATTTGGATTGAGTCTGTTTGTTGATTGTTGGTCTTCTTGCACCTGGATATTAATATGTTTTGCTAGGTTTGCAAAGTTCTCTGTTAATGTTTGAATAAACTTTATACCCCTATCTTTTCTCTGCTCTCTTTTTAAGGTAATCATTGTTATATTTGCACTTTTGAGGCTATTTTCTAGATCTCATATGCATTCTCTATTTTTTATCATTCTTTTTCTATTTCTTTTGACTTTTTTATTTTTATTTTTTTTCGATAATGTCAAGTTTAATCTGCCAAATATACAAGTTGAATTTGTGGAGCATGTTTTGCCTGGGTGCCACACAGTAAACAGAGGTTTCTTGAAATGATCAACGGGTAGGGTTAAAAAGGCGCACTGGCCCCGGCCAGGTGGGTAGGAACCGGTCAGAGAAGGGCAGACAGGCGAGGCTTCGGTCAGATAGGACTGACCAGGAACAAGCCATGACCCTTGAGGACACAGGGACACGGGCTCCCAGATGACAGCCTCTCTCTGAATGAGCACCCAGGCAACACAGTCCGGGGCTGGGCGTAGCAAACCCGTCAGCAGCTGCCTCCTGGGTCAACCACCCCCTTAAGTGCTATCTATCAGACAAATGAAAGCTATTCTTACCCCATCTCCCAGGCACCCCCAGCAAGGGCTCTGAATTGTAAAAACAGTGAAAACATTCAAATGGTTATATATGAAATGCTGTCCTGCATCTTTCTGTCTCAAAGATAGCAGCTGCCCCTGCCCCAGCGCCTCACCACATCCTCCAAACAATTTATGTGCGAAGATGAAGAGGAGACCCCAGGCCATGGGGGGCTCCTGGCCGTGAGGGGCTGTTGCAGCGGCGCCAGGGCACAGGGTGGGCGAGACACAGCAGAGGTCCTGGCAGCGCGGCCCAGGTCCCCGGCATCTCCTCCCACGGGTTGCGGTTACTTATACAGGAAGAGTGACTGCATTCGTTTTCCTGACAATGTGGCATAGTCTTTTGCTTTTCTTTCCTCTTCCTTCTTCCTGGCAGCCTCCTCCCGCTGTTTCCGGATGATGGCCAGCTGGGCCAGGTCGGCCTTGGCTTGCTCTGACTTCCCGGCCAAGTGCATTTTCATGTAACGCTCTTTTGCCTTCTGCTTCTCAATCTCTTCTCGTTCTCTCCTCGAAAGCTCTGTTGGCCCGTCCAGATCCAGTTGTGTGACCTTTTTGGTTGTCTGTGCCACCCGGTTGGGGTTCTCGATGTCTCTGAGCCCTTCGACGCCTTTGCACTTTTGCTGGTAGTCACCTTCTTCGTCCTCACTCTTCATCTGAGTCTAGAGATTTCTTCTCCTTTTTGGGGTCACCTGCAGCCCCATCTCCACCTTCTTTTTGGTCCTCTTCTTCCCTGGCCTTCTGCTTCTCAGCATGCAGCTGCGCTTCAATCTCCTCAGGGCTCGTATACTGCCTCGCCTGGCCTTTGTGGCCTCCCTTTCTCCCTCCTTTAGGCATCGCGGCTCCGCGGCTGCGGTCTTGACTTTGTATTTTAAATAGCCTACCTTTGAGCTTACCAATTATTTTTTTCTGTTTGATCAATTCTGCTGTTGTGACGTTTATTCAATTTCACTTTGTCAATTGTATTTTTTAGCTACAGGATTTCCATTTGACATTTTAAAATTATTTCAATCTTTTTGTTAATTTTTTATAATAAATTAACAAATTGTTTATGTGTATATATTTGCATGTTTTCCTGAAGTTCATTGAACTTTCTCAAAACAACGAATTTTAATTCCCTGTCAGAGAGGTTACATATCTTCATCCCTACAGGGCTGATTATGGTGTCTTATTTAGTTCATTTGGTGAGGTTATATTTTCCAAAATTTTATTAATGTTTGCGAATGTTTGTTACTGTTTGGGCATTGAAGAATTAGATATTAATCTAGCCTTCACATCTTACCTTATTTGTATTTGTCCTTTTCCAAAGGACTTTCCAAGAGTTCAAAGGGGACTAATTGTTGAGTTTCCTAAGCCTGTTGTTGCTGCAACTATTTCCACACAAAAGGGCATGCTAAGTGCAGATTCCTACATACTCAGCCTTGATGGGCTTGGTGAAGATTAGGAAGAATTTCCTGGGATCCCAAGTAAAGTCCCTTGCTCACTTGCCTCTTTGTTCTCTAAGCAAATGGAGTCTCATGATGTTCTGAGATGCCTGGAGTTGAGGCAGGAATGATATGGGCACTCCTGTGACCACTGCTGGCACCACACCACAAGCCCATGGCCTCCCAGACCAATAAAGTCCCAGGGATAGTCCAAAGACTGTGACCACTATTTGTTCAATTCCTGAGGCCACGGTAGTCAGCTAGTGGTGAATCCACTCAGTAATGCATTCCCTTCTGGCCCAGGATAGGTTTAAAAGCCCTCTTCAGGGGCAAGAGCCTGAAATTAAGGGTTTGGGGGCTCTTTCCAGGGCTGCCTTACTATTGTGGTGCTGGTACTAGGTTTTAAGGTAAAGTCCCCTGTGGATGTCTCTCTTCTTCCGCCAAATGGCGTCTCTCTCCATGATGCACTGCATGGAGATGGATGAGGGGTGACGCAGGTACTCCTGTGGCCAGTGAACCTGGTGTTACACTGAATTACACCCTGAGCTCACAACCTCCTAGACCAGAGCAACACTGACATTTGACCAAGAACCATGGTCAGTCACTACAGGATGTCTGCCACTAAAATTTATTTGCACCAAAATCTCTGAAATTATCACTAAAGAACTTAATGATTTAACCAAATACTACCTGTTCCTGAAAAACCTATTGAAATAAAAAAAAATTAAAAAAATTATTTGGTACTGGAAGCCGCTTTATTCAGTTGGTAGTGAAGTAGGCAGGTACTCAATTTCCTCCTGCAGAAGAGGGAGATTCCCCTCTAGCTTTGAGCAGATTTAAGTGTTTCCTTCATGGGCACCAGCCTGAAATCAAGGACCACAGAATTCTACCCAGTGCTGTGTTCCATTACGATGGAGCCAGCACTGAGTTACAGTGTCAAGTCCTACACTCACTTCCTTCTCCCTCCCACAAGCACACGGGTTTTCTCTCCCCATTGCCCTGCCAGGGGTTCGAGCAGTGTGGTGTAGGCAATGTGAAACTGCCCTTCCTACTCTCTTCAGTGTGTCTTTTCTTGTTATGCTAAAACTACCTACTATGATCTCTCATCTGATTTTTTAATTCTTGTGAAGGTGATTTCTCATATGGATAGTTGTTTAATTTGATGTTCCTGCAGGGAAATTAACTTGAGGATGCTGAACAGTTTTGTAAAAGTTTATTCTAAATCCCATGAACATTTTTTGCTGATATGCTCTTTTTGATTTTTTGACATGATAATCTTAAAACCTATATTATAATATTTGCCTCAGGGGTCATTTTTCATCTTTAGTCTTAAAAAGATTGAGTCTATCTTAAATTAGGATTTTCAAGAGATGGACCAAATGAGTAGTCTTTGACTCACTTACTGTTTACCAATGACAGTGGGCTTCACCTTTTGTAGGTTTCCAGCTGTAGAGCAAAGTGATTGACATGATTTCCGTCATGATCTCATTTCTACTGATATTTTTCTAGGTTATCTTTGTTGTCTCAAGGTGGGAAATATTTCTACTTTAAAACAGAGATATCAACAAAAACAAATACTTATAGATTTAGTGTTATTAAAGATGAGATATTCTACTCTAAACTCTAAGGTTGTCTGCCAGTGTACAGTTGTGCTTCCTATTTCTTAATACTCTGAAATGAGAGAGAGAGTAGCAGAAATATATTAATACCCAATGCACATTGCTGTCTTTAGCTCTCTCTTCTTTTTCCTGTAGTCTCTTCTAACTTTCATATATATACACTTACATGGTTTGATTTTAGGAAACACTGCTCTTGTTACCCTATACAACTGTCTATGTACAGCAGAATTATAAATGTCCAATTTTCTGATTAGTGAGAAACTTATTTATCTAGGAAAGTGGAAAAACTTTAGACAATATAACACATTTCTTTCTGAATTTTTGGAAGAATAATGGACAGTCATAAACTAATTCTAGTAATGATTTCACTAATATATTTTCTTAACCCAACTCCATAGTTCATAAACTAATATATTTTTACCACATTATGTTTATTGGATATCTTTATTCTCTGTTCTATGGTATCTTGAAAATGTACCTTTTTTCACAATTGCATATATTTGTGTGTATGTGAAATTAGAAGAGACTAAATTTGAGCTTAAAATTGGATGCTCTTAAAAATGAGTCTCTACTTCTGTTTTGTATCATATTTGTTTTTGTTTGTTTTCAAAGTGAACACAAACTAGTATCATACTTCTAAGCATTTTGCTCAAAAGCAATTTATATTTGGTGATGTGCAATCAAAATATTAAAACAGAGCCAGCAATAAAAGCAAATACTTATGAGGTTTAGTGTTATTAAAGATGAGATATTCTACTCTAAACCCTAAAGCTGTCTGCCTGTGTACAGTTGTCCTATAACCAGATCTATAGGAAAAGGCATAGTCAGCTTGATCTAGAGAACAATCTGGTTATCAGTTCAGTGACGAGACAATTGACAAGAATTTCTAGAAATTAACATAACTCATATGTGTTTAAAATTTTAAAATGAGAATTTTAGTAAAACGGAAAAAGTTGAGAATAAATAAAAATTGATTCTTAATTTTATGTAATTGATTGCATATAAATATGGTGTTAAAAGTATCAGATCTCATACCAATATTAAAAGGCAATAATTAGAACAAGGGGTATATATTAGACAATGTAGTTCTCTTTCCAGAGGACTAAAACAACAACAACCACACGTACTTCTTAAATTATAAACAAGATTTTTAACAATTATTTTCATCATTCTATAAGTTTTTCAGTTTTTAGATTTTTACCAACAATGGAACACATCATCCAAGAACAACACATACTACCAAGCCTAGAATTTCTCTGATACAGCATACTTAATGATTTCCTTTTTTATAATCCTTAATTCTATTGTCTACATGATGTCTCCTTCTTATCATTTATATAACCACTTTTTTTCACAAGTTTTAGGAAAGAGCAATAAGTGTAATTGAATATTCAAATAAATATTCATAAATTTAACCATTAATTTTATGAAATTACATCCTTTGGACTTGAACTTATTTATCACTCTGTTAACTAATATAACAAATCTGGATTATGATACAAAAGGTATTTTGGAGTTGCCAATAAATAGTGAGCCACTGTGAAGTTTGTGTATTTGTTCTCTATAAACTGTCAACAATCACCAAATATTAGGATAACTGAAGTCGAGTATGCATTTAAATTAGATATAAAACGGACAATTTAAAAACACACATACAGTTGTATCTCTAAGTTGGTTATATAAAAACTACCTTTTTTTTTTTTTTGAGATGGCTAGTCTGATTTCCCACAGGTTTTGGCAAGAGTTCAGTCACCAGAGTTAGCTAAACCCTTGTGTCATTTTCAGTCTCTTTGTTGTCCTTTTCCTGTATGTCCCAGTACATCACCCCTGATCGTGCTTGCTGAATTGGTAGCCCTCTTATCTTGTTCTTTTGTGCTTTGCTGTGGCTTATGGACTCCCATTGCAGGTATCTCAGTGTCCTGCTGTTAGCATCAGGACTTGGCCAGCTCTAGGGTTTCTTTACTGTGTACTGACACTGATCATTTTCGTTTTTCTTAGCCTCTGTCCTGCCTTCTGTATTGAGTCTTTTCTCTTATTTGTTTTGTCATCCTATCCCTTTTTTCCCTCCCTTCTTTTCTCATTTTGATTTTTTTTTTCTTCCCTGTCCATCCCATTTTAGTATACATGATGCATGACCCTGCCTTTTTTTTTTTTTTTTTTACTGTGGGGGGAGGGTTGGCTTTTTTGATGTATTTTAAATTATGCTTTTGCTCTGGTCATTTTGGGAAAACATTTATTTATAAGCAGGAAACCTTGTCACTTTGATGAGATGTGAAGATATTTCCTGATATAACCATTAAAATAATATCACCCTCTGGAGATAAACTCTCCCTCTCTAGTACTTCCAACTCTCTAGTATAGCAGACATTATAATATAGTAAAAAGGAAGCAACATTAAAATATTAGTGTTTAAGCTCCAAATGATTAGTAACAGCTTAGAGGGAAACACATATGCTGCTGAGTGATTTCTAATCTTTTATTATCCACCATATGTAAGTTACATTAAGAGAATTGTAATTTTTTTTTTACAGAGGCATTTAAGTGAAAATATTTTAGTATTGATTTTATATTGAGATATAAATCTTACATTTGAACTTGTACCAGGATTAATTTTATCAAAAGTATGTATTAATATTTATCTGACATACCCTAGAATTTTGCTGATTATGGTATCCCATTAAGTGTCATAGGATTATAAGTGTAATATCTCTTTTGCCCAAATTTAGTCACTCATCTTTACTATATAATACAGTTTATCTTATTTAATCTCTTTTTCCTAAAATAGGTTATTGTAATTCAGTTTGACTAAGGAATTAATATAAAATATTAACCTTTAGCAAGATGTCAATTTCTGTTCTTTCAACCACCACTTAAAACAGCATAGTGATTACATGTCATTTTGTTTTACAGGCATTGCATGCTACTCCCTCAAACCTTTTTCTGGTATCAACAACACATCTTGGCTGGTGGAAACTGCTTAATAACATTTGCATGAAAATGTGTTTAGTCAAGGTACCCTTTTCTCCTCTGGCCAAATATCAGCATTCAATCTAATACAAAACACTTGAATTCTCTCTGGCAGAAAATGCAATCCTGAGGGATACGACAAAAAAAAATAAAAGCTATTTTCTGCCTGATTAATCTGTTCATTAGCTTCTAATTTCTAGATCCCTGTAGCTACAAAATGCCTGTCCTTCAGAGACTTAGGCCAATTTTGCCTATAAGCCTATGAGTTAGCATATGTCTTCACAGTATCTTGGAGTGGCTGGAGGTAGAGTGATATATTAGCCAGAACTGGAGTCTGTTATTTGCAACCAAGATACCTAAATAATATTATTAAAAAGTATAATATTGACCAAAATATAGATTTCTAGGACAAATTTGTACATTCAGTGAAAGGAAAAGCACAGTTAAAATCTGTATAGTTTCAATGAAAGACTCATCCTCTTCGGTTTGGTTTGGGGTGCCTTTATACTTAGGATTTCTCTGCTCAATCTTTCATTTCTACTACCAAGTGCAATAATATAGGTTAAGAATCTTTATTGGACTGGGAAGGAAGTACCCACTCCTTGATTATCCCTTTATCCAGGCTTGTAAACTAAGGCAAAACCGGGCCTTGACACAAAGAAAAGAAGGAATGAAGAAAGCTGTTTTATATTTTTTCTTAGTTAAATCATGAAACTCAAAACTAAAAAAAAAAAAAAAGTCTCCTGGGCCCACACTTGCTTAATGCAAAATCAGAAAATGTACGGAACTCCAAACAAATGCTAGCAATCCACTGAAATCATCATTTGAATTAAAACTATATTTAGTCTTCATAAGCCTAACACAGTTCACATTAAATTTCAAAGGTGACTCCTAATTACACATATGCAATCTTACAAATCAATAGAGAAATTCAGGCAATCCCATAGATGTATGAGAAAATGAATTGGATAGGCCTTTTATAAAATGTAATATCCAAATGGCCAATGAACACAGAAAATGTGATTATTTTATTGGTCATAAAAATACAAATTAAAACTATAATATCCTACAAATCTAATGTAAAGCAAGGTGACTATTGTGAATAATACTGTAATGTATACTTGAAATTTGCAAGAGTAGGTATTAAATGTTTTCATCTTTCCCCCAAAATTGATACCAATGTAAGATGGTGGATATTTTAATTAGCCTGATTGTGGTAATCATTTAGCAATGCATACATATACAAAAACATCGTGTTGTACACCTTAAATAGGTATAATTTTTTTTTTTTTTTTTTTGAGACGGAGTCTTGCTTTGTTGCCAGGCTGGAGTGCAGTGGTGCGATCTCCGCTCACTGCAACCTCCGCCTCCTGGGTTCAAGCGATTCTCCTGCCTCAGCCTCCTGAGTAGCTGGGACTACAGGCGTGCACTACCACGCCCAGTTAATTTTTTGTATTTTTAGTAGAGGCGGTGTTTTACCATGTTGGCCAGTATGAGATACAGTTTTTATTTGGAATTATTATACCTCAATAAAGCTGAGAGAGAGAAACCTATAATATTCTACTATTACACAGCTGTTAGGATTGCTAAAATGAAAATGAGGAAAATAAGAAGTATTGGCAAGGATATGGAGCAACTTAAATTCTCATATGTAGCTGATAGAAATGTAAAACTGATAGGCAGAATATGTTAAAAGGAGTGTATAAATATACTGTAACTCAATAATTTTACTACCAGTTATGTTCTCATGTAAATATGTAATATGTTCTCAAAATGTTATATACAGGGATTTTAAAAGTGACACTACTTATACTTGCCCAAAAGGAAACCAATACAAATGTTATCAAAAACACATTGATACATAAATTGTATTACATTTATACAACAAAATAATACTTTACCGCAATGAAAATGGATAAACTACAATTACATACAACCATATGGATGACTCTCAACTGCATAGTGTTAAATGAGACAAGTCAATTCAAAAAGTACATGTATATTGGATGATATCATTTGCATAATATTCAAAAACTAATTATGAGGCTACAAATCAGAATACTGGTAAGGCTTGGGGAGAGCAGTATTGAGAAGAGGGAAGGAGAGAGTGTGCAGTTTCTGGAGAAGTTCTGTTTCTTGTTCCTCTTGCCAGTTACACCATTGAATTCATTTAGTGAAAAACTTATCAAACAACCTACTTTTTATTGGTGTACTTTTCTAGGCACATGATGTACTTGGATAAAATATTTACTGTAAAAATAAGTGGCTGAAATAAAAATCAGTGTTACAGATCTTGAATATTTCCTGTGAAGAGACAAAGCTTACATGACATTAGTGAGCAAAAATTTGTTTACTTGTAATATTGTACCAATTATTAAAAACACTTCCCATATCTCATCTACTGTCTATCTTTCCTTGATAACCCTTAGTGCAGTGAAATAAAATCTTAGTAATCAATTATTGTTGGCTGATGCAAAAAGGACAGAATTAGTTCTAAGAGTAATGAAGTGAAACAGTATATCAAAAAAAGATAGAACATTAGGTACTAACAAACTACTTTAGAATATTTTTTGGTTTAAAAATATTCAGAAATATGCATGAAAATAGAACTTTAAACATACTCATGACCACATCCTCCCACAATAGGGTCTAGCTTGTATAGTCAATATATTTGCTGTGGAACTTTGGAAAAATGGTATTATAAACAATGTTCTAAGAATAAATGATAAAACGAAATGAAATTTGACAAAATGTAATTTTTTAATTAGAAAAAAAACACCCTGATGATCTAGTGAGAAATAATTGTCTATTTTTCTTTTCAGTTATGTTAAACTTTTAGCATAAGAATAGCTAAGGACAATAGGTTTTTAAAAATTCAGTAGGCTATTTTTGTTTTTCAAAGTGAAAAGAAACCAGAATATTACAATATTAGCTTACAGGATCATAGTGGTACAAAACTTAAACAGTAGCAGTGTTTGAAGGATGAGAACGCAACAGAAACATGTTTACAAAGAAATCAACCTCTCAACTCTGTTTTACTTAAAAGTATCATTACATTTATTTACTTCAACATTTAATAACACTCAGCTCCTTCCCCTTGTCTAGGCTTTCAAATCTATCATTAAATATTACTAGTTTATTATCATTGATATGAGCATCTTGAAAGTGAGGACCAGGGTTTTTAGACTTTGTATACTCAGATTGACACATAGTTGTTCCTCATTTCATTAATTTACAGTGGAACTCTTGAATGCTCAAAAATTCAGTAGATGAAATAATGTATTCCATAATTTGTATAAGCTGTTGAATGATTGTTTTAAAGAATTAGGTGTAATTTTTTAAAGGTGCAAACAATTTGTGCTTACATAATCTAAGAATGTCGAAGAGAATGCTAATGATTTTAGAACCTGACATCAAAGTGTTTTCAATCACGTCAGATATTTGTGTGTGTGCATGTGCATGTGTGTGTTTATGTCTTAAACCTAACCATCCAGAATCCTGTCTCAATATAATTTTCTTTGAGTTGTTTGCTTCTACTTGGCGTTATGGATAAAAGTAGAAGGCTCTGTCAGATAACCTTTTATACAGGAAGAAGTCAGCAGGTGAATAGTATATTTTTTCTTTTTCATGATGCTTTCTGCAAGTCTTGTTTATATACTCATTTACAGATGAGAATATCATATATTTGAGCATCCTTCCTCTGTCATAAGAAACACCCTTCACTCTCTTTACATTAGTCATAGTGCATATTGTGTTTATAAATAAACTAGCTGCAGTGAATCACCCACATTTTCAAGGAATATTAATATAAAATTACATGAAAGACAGTATAAGCAGATCTAATACTTAAAAATTTTTAATATCAAAAATTATTTTAGTAATGCTTATTTTTTATTTTTATTTTTATGTTAGGTTCAGGGGGTACGTATACAGGTTTGTTACATGGGTAAATTGTGTGTCACTGAGGTTTGGTGTACAAATGATCTCATCACCCAGGTAGTGAGCATAGTATCCTATAGGTAGTTTCTCAACACACACCTTCCTCCTGCACTCCCACCTCAGGAAGTCCTCATTGTCTATTGTTTCTATGTTTGTGTCCCCATGTGCCTAAGGTTTAGTTCCTGCTAATAACCAAGAACATATGGTATTTGATTTGCTGTCCCTTCATTAATTTGCTTAGGATCATGGCCTCTAGCTGCATTCATGTTGCTGCAAAGAACATGATTTTTTTTAAGGCTGCATAGTATTCTTTGGAGTAATGCGCTTATTTTTAATTTTTCCTTCTAGCAATTGGCAACATTAATAAATGATCTGGTCAAGCACATTCAGACTTGGTGTTTGCATGACTCAAGGTGGAAAAGGATATTAGAATTATTTTTTAAAAATAAAAACTGTGAAGCCCAGTTCCAACTAGCCAGAAAATGTATTGAGCCTCTCAGTTAAGGAATAAAACTGCTATTAGGTACAATTGTACTTTTTGTCTCAGACTGCGGTGCTAGAAACTGACCATGTTTTGGTGCTACATATTCTTCCTTGGTTTTATTCTGACACATTTTTTTTTTGCACATGGAAAATAGAATCTTCTCCCTCAATGTCCCTATGTAAATATCAAAGACATTTTCTTCTTATACATGGGATGCGTATTTTTCTCTATGTCATGCACATGTCGCATGGGGTGGATGGAATGCAGGGTAATAAGATACACAGCTTCCAACTAAAGTGAAGAAGAGGTTTCACAAAATGTCTTGCCAGAAAATTACAAGGAGGAGTCTGGTTTGTGATATGTTTACAGCCGTGATAACTCACTGTACAGTGATTTACAACTAGTGATAAATAACAAAAACAGTAACTATTTACTTAAGGAGCATAAGAGTTTTAGCTACTGAAAGAATAACTCTCAGAACACTTTCATGTCAATATTATCAGTGCAATTTTGAGAAGTAGACAAAGATATTATAATTCTTTAAATTTAATGGATAATGAAAATTATAATCACACAGTTTATGTAACATTGCCGCAGATACATAGTAGGCCAAGATGCTGTATCTTTTGTTTGCCATAAAAATCATGAAAAAATACTGAGTACAAAGATTATTCATTTATTATAAATGAAAACAATTTACTAACAAAAATTCCTCTTTTCCTATAAAATTGAAGTCTCATAGTATATTACATATTAAGTATGTAAGGTATAAGTAATTCAGCCCTATGCTCATATGACCATTAAATGTACTTTTTCAATGCACATGTTGAATATTTATTGTCTTATCTCAGTTTTCCACGAAAAAATAGGTGGACACAAACTTCTTTAATAAGATTTTACTGACAAGCGCAGTCATAGTACTACAAGGATGAAGAAAGAAAGGGCCTCTAACCCTCGTATGTGACTTTATCCCTCCCTCACTGTCATCTTTGCGGTTGATAATTCTGATTTTCCTCAAAAACATTCTTGTTTTACCTTTAAGACTTCAGGCATGCTCCTAAGAAAATAAAATCTTCCAAGCCTAGTTTTCTGGCAATAAAAAGACAATAGAGTAATTTTAAGAACAGAATGAAAAGAAAGAAGAAATTGGTAGCACCCATGTCTCTCTGGATCTCTTCCCTTAAAGAGTAGGATCATTAAACATGCTTTTCAGGAAGTGAAACCTTTAGATAAACCTATTTCCAGTCTGAGGCTTTTAGAAGAACCTAGTTCCTGTCTGTGGCTTTAATCTATTTGTTAAAATCTGCAGAGATATATGTGAGGAACTGCTTCATTTCTCTGGGCCTCACATTCTGAATCTGTAAAGTGGAGAAAATAATAGTACTCATAGGGTTGCTGTGAGGATTATTATTATTATTAATTATTATTTTTGGGACAGCATGGATCATCTCACTGTAACCTCAAACCCCTGGACTCAAGAGATCTTCCTGCCTCAGCCTCCCAAAGCTGGGATACAGGTATGTGCCACTATACCCAGCTAGTTTACTTTTTCTCTTTTATAGAGGCATAAACTCATTTTGTTGCCTGGGGTTGGTTTAAAACTCTGGGATCCAACGATCCTCCCACCTCAGCCTTTCAAAGTGCTGGGATTACAAGCATGAGCCACTGTGTCTGGCCTTGCTGTAAGAATTATAATTTAAATATGAAAAGCATTTAGAACAATTTCTGGTCCATAAAGTAGAGGCAATAGTGACACATACCTACACTCACCGCCTCTTGTGTACTCATTACCTTGTGCAATTATTATCAAAATTTGGGCATTTTCTTTCAACTCTACACCTGCACACTTTATTCCCTTCACTAGAATGTTCTAAAGCAAACTCCAAATGTCAGCTTTTTATCCACAATGATTTGGGATGTGTAAATGTGTATCTCTAATGGATCAGATCTGTCTCTCAACCTCTCTCTCTTCCCTACAGTAACATTATCAAAACTAACAATATTAATAAAAAGGCCTTAATCACATATAATATCACATCAACATTCCAACTTTCAGCAATTTTTCAAGACATGTTTTTTCCTTCTATATCAAGATCCAAACAAGTTGCAAATGTTTGATTGACATAACTTTTTAAGTCTCCTTTAAAATAACAGTAGATTAAAATTTGGCATCATAGCATTAAAAATTGGTTGCAAAGTGCTCAATATTTCAGATAAATTCTTTAAAAATCAACAAAAAACAAATTTTCAGAATGTGCCTTGTGCATCAGTATAATTTTCCTTAGCAACGATGCTGAAATTGCAGAATGCACTGCAACTGTAAACTAGCAATAGGCTGGAACTATCCCATGCTTAGCTGTGACCACATATGCTGCTGTTAGGCTGCTTTACATTAAGTGAAAGTGCTACAAACACTTACGAAATCTAACTACAAACTTACTTTATTAAAAATATACTACTTTTAGAACTAGAATAAATAAGAATAGAAATAGAATGTTTGATTAAACTAAATAGTTTAAGCATGAAGGTGGAAGATCCACGTTTAATGCACTTGTTACCTTTTTGAATCCTACTTTCTTTTTAAATATGGCTTCTTCTTTACATTCACTGCAGTGAGCTACAGCCTAGATTTTTAATTTTATCACATCAGTTCCTTGAACTGATATGTTACTCTGTAAATAGTTTATGAAATTCTTTCAAAGAATTTCATAAACTATTTCACGTTAATGGAAGCTAATTCCTCCTAGACAGTTTTGCAATTGGTTTCTCAAGCTAAATATATTGTTTGATTTTTTTAATATAACAAATAAAGTTATAACACCTACTTCAGGTTCTTTGATGATCTCTCCATTACGCAAAATAAAACAGAATGTCTAAATACCCAAAGAACAAATAAATTCCCTAGATATTTTACAAGCTAATACTTGAATTTCAAAAAAAGGATAAAAAGTCTCCAAAATATGTATTTAAAATCAGCATGAGATTGCCAATTTATTTTCCATAGTAATGTGTTTCTGTATCATCTAAAAACAATGACAGTGAAATGGAAAATTGGTCCAGCTATCCTCATATTCATTCTATTTAAGCAAAAATATTTGGTGGCATAAATTATCAAATAATTACTTCAAATTTTCACTTTATTTTGCATGTGTGTAAGCAGAACCAAAGATGGATCTTATCAGCAAAGAAGAAATAATCTTATTTTCATGGCATTGGATTATTTCCAGATGGAGGAATATTTAAATAGAGTACTTATAATTCATATTTTTATTCTTTCGTTTGCTGATATCTGAATCTGAAGCCTAAGTTGTTCCAAGCGCAGATGTTCTTATTGCTGGATTCATCTGTGCCAATAAGGTAAAATACATGTATACAAATACAGATTTTAATCTTTGACTCATCCTGTTCACTAGTACTATCCATATACTCAAAGATTTGCTTTACATTGGTAATTCAAACACCCAATTTGTGTATTATAATGTTTTACCCTAATTATATGATTTTAAATATGTCATATCTTTTATGAAGATAATATGATATAGTAATGGTCCTATTTTTCTTATAAAACTTGAAAAATCCTACCATTACACTATTTCAAATAATATAAACCCAAATGACCAGTAAAAATATATTTTTGCTTTCATTCAAGTAATCCCCTTACCAATGTTTTTTATGTTGCCTGAACTCACACATGGTGAGCAATGAGAGTAGGTACTGCCTGCCCTGTCTTGACCTCTGCAGCCTACTCAGCACCACCCAGTCTTTGTGCTAAATCCCTGACAGGTACAGTTTCTTCTTCCATAACAGGAGTACCTATTCCTTTTCTGCTGTCTCTCTGGTCTTGAAAGTCCCTTTGTAATCTCACAGATCAAATACCTTTCACTGTTACAGTCCAGCCACATCAGGCTCTATAGTTCTCCACTGGCTTGACACAAGTTCACAATGCTACCTGATTCAAGCAGCCTTTATACATGTAGGATTTGATAAATTCAGACATTTTATTACTAGATATTTGAATAAGAATAATTTGTTGCCACATTTAATGCTTCAATACTAAAAGTCATCTCTCTAACACAAGTTATTTGACAAATAAACTAATTTGTTGCTTAAGTATGACAAATATATGAATGATTTTAAAAGTTCAATTGATTTTATTATTTTATAGGCAAATAATATGTGTATCTTAAAATATTTTAATATACTTTTAAATACTTTCATAAAATAAGTTGAATGGTAATTCTATTTATTTAAATAAAATTTGTGGAAGGCAGATTTAATCCCAAAAACACCTTTACCAATATGCTCAGTAATAGAAAGGATTGATTTAATACACATCACTTAAGTTATAGTAGTCTTTCAGTGAGCTTAATTTTATATCACATCGCCTAAACAGTTCTGAAGTCCTCTAAAGATGCCAACCTGATGTAGGATTAAATAACACTAAGGAACATGATTTTTATGAAGATCACAGTGATTCACTAATTTATAAGAAAAAAATATTTATTTTATAAATAAATTTCTTTTTATAAATAAATTTCCAGAAAAAAATCCTACATTAAAAATTGGGAAAATTTAAATTTATCATCATACATGATTAGGAAGAATGTAGGAAGAAAATTTCCTAGAAATGTGATCTAAATATTACTTTTAAAAAACTACATGACTAAACAAAATAAATGCTTATGTATCAAGCACCCAGAATTGAAGAACATAATAATGACCATGATTATGTCCTTAAATGTTTATTCAAGACACAAAGGCAGATGAAAATTGAAGTCCCCAGTGTTTTCTCCTCTCTTTCTTCCACCCCTGAGGCAACTACTGTCATGAAATTATTGTCTTTGGTTTTATACCTTAATACTAACTTATGTTCCATTCAAACATTAGTTTTGAAATTGTCAGTTCTATAATTGTCTTCTGTATGTGAGACTATCAAGCATGCTGTATTTATTCAACACTATGATTTCAGGATTGCAAATGTTGATAAGCACAGGTATGTGTTTATTTCTTTCTTCAAGAATGACATTTCAGTTTCCTGTTTTGTGTTGTAATGATAAACCTGTGATGAATAACTATGGATGTGTCTTTATGTGCTCATGTGCAAGATAATGAATTTCATTTTTAATGAACTTATAGTTCATGAGTTATTCATTTTTTATCATCAATGATCACTATTCTTTGACTACTCAGGACATCCTCAAATTCAGAGGTATAATTTCATCTGTCCTCCCAGGTTTTTGATGAAACATGATAGTGGCAACATTTGAAAAGAAGTTTAATTATAAAAATGATGTCTGGGAGATAAAGAACTACCAAAAAAGCCGTGAAACCAGCTATGGAGATCAAAATGAACTATTAAAAATATACTTTATTCTCTGAAAAGAATCCACTAAATAGCTATGATATTTATTTTAGGCAAAGTAATTAATAGTGCTCAAATGTGAGGTGCAGTTTATATCCCTGGGAAACCAGTATATGACCTAAAGATTATTATAATTTCCTGAATTTTAATATTAGTGCTACCTATCCAAAATGCAATAATCATGGTGAAAATAAAATGTTTCAATATCCTCTCTTGGTATGTTATAAGGAATATGGCTTCACAAGCCTGGAAGATAATGTTTGCCTGGTTCTATGGAGAAAAACAATAAGAAAAAAAAGTCCTACCATGGACATGCATATTTGGCAACTCGTGCCTAATCCTATCATCACACTGGACAATCACTTACCCTCTAGAGCCTCAATTTCTCACCTTTAAAACTGTTATAATAGTGTCTACCATGCTGTTTTCACTGGATTGTATTGCAGTAATTATCAAGCAAAATAGTGGATATGAATAGGCTTTTAAAACTGACAATTTTATGTAAATGTATGCAGTGTTTATGCAATATTTCCTAACGCATTCATAGAATAACGACACCAATGAGCATATGGCTTTGGTGACAGGTAGTAAAATCTTTGAGACTCTTAACACTAAATGTAGCACTGCCTACTGCTATGAAAACCACATGTAAACACATACACAAACACACACGCACACACACACTCATGTCTTACAATTAATTACCTTGAAGTAGTATATAGTTTTCTAAATGATACTTTGAAACGAATACTAGCAGAAGTGCATCCTTGATAATGTTAAGTCTAGATGGCAGTTCAGTTGATTGTAACACTGTCCTGGCATTGAATCTGTGTTAATCAACAGCCTGAGTAAATGAACCAAAAAAGTGTCTTATGATTGCTGTTAACCTCAGCAGAGACAGAGGCAACAACAGCCATAGTAACAGCTTCATGGATGCCAAGGTAATTGGTGCACTGCCATTTCTTGCATAAGCTGACAGCTGCTAAGTCATTTCTTATGTAATTGCTATTTGTTTTGCTCTTTAATTTTGTACATTTGATTTTGACTGTGAAATATCAAACTTAGCATAGAGATTATGTAAGGCTACATTAAGTTATAAAAAAAATTGCTCAAATCAATTATTGCTCATTTTCAATAGCATTTTATAAGAAATAGTTACATATACATGTACACAAGCATATATATTACATATATATGTACATATATGTTTATATATATGTACACAAACTGTGTGTTTGTGTGTATATGTACACAACGTATACACACAGACACTCTCTCACACACACTCACACACTCATTCTCAGATTTAACCACACCTTAATTCAGAGGTGGCTCAAATTGGGGATCTGTCCGATTTGAAGAAGAAGGTAATGCACAGTGATTTCTACATTGCTTAATTGTCTTAAGGACTTCTAGCAACTGACTAAACACAAAGTTTACAACTTTAGGATTTCCTTTAACTATTTGATTTCCCTATGTTATTATAAATATATATTCTTATGCAAAATAATACCCAAAATGCCATGCAGTTAAACCTTATAAATCTAAAAGTCTTATAATATTTTATATTATAGAATTTACATAATAGAATATATAGAGAGAATATATAAATATTCTATAGATTCTATAGTCTATATATTATATATATTATATATTATATTCTATACTAGAATAGAATACATGGAATATATATAATTTATATATTTATTCTATTATATATGTTAGAATTATATATAATTTATATATTTATTCTATAATATTATATTTAGTTATAGAATTATATATAAAATTCATATATAGACATGCACATAAAGAATACTGAATAAATATTATGAGTAAAATTTTAAATATTGTGAAAGTTGAAATGCTATTAGATTTCTAAGGTCTTTGACAGATATGAAATATATCTCATATTGTACAGCATAGGTCAGAAAAAATTATTGGAGGTTATGACAAACCAATTTTAAAGACACAGGTATTTTTTAAACAAAATAGCTATATGTCATAATGAAAAATAATAATCATTTTTATATGAAAAACAGCAGAACAGAATAATCCCCTTCTGATGGATAGACAGATATCTGTTTTTAGAAATATGTATATATATATTTATACATAGATAGATGTATACACATACAAACATATATATAGGCTATATTCAAAATTCTTAATATTTCTCAAAATATTTCAAAACTTCTCTTTGCATGTCTCAATGTGTTTGTGTGTATACATACAGACACACACACATATGTAAGGATCTAAGATCACGAATGCTGAATCATATAGTAACCTATGTTTAGCTTTGTAGAAACTGCCAAATTGTCTTACAAAGTGGCTTTACCATTTTGCATTTTCACTAGCCATGCTTAAAATTTCCTGTTGCTTTACATTCTTACCAGTGACTGAGCAATACCTGCAATTAAAATCTTAAATCTTAAATTTCACACTTACCTTGAATCCCCAGTTCTACTCCAGAATGAAACATTATTATTTTGCATGGCCCTGGGGTCTGATGTACAAGGAAGATATGAAAATTCTTTGCAATTATTACTCAGTCATTGGTGAGGATTTGGAGAAACAGAAACTTTTATTCATGGCTGGTGAAAAATGCAAGATGGTAAAACCACTTTGCAAGACAATTTGTCAGTTTCTACAAAACTAAATATAGTCTTAACATAAAATACAGCACTCGTGACTTTAGATTCTACCAAATTAATTTGAAAAACATGGCAACACAAAAACCTGCACATGGATATGTATAGAATATTAAGTCATAATCCAAAACTTGGAGAGAAACAAAATATCTTTCAATAGATGAAAGGATAAATAAACTATGGTACATTCATACATTGGACAACTACTTAGCAATAAAAAGAGATGTTATCAAATTAGGTAAAAATCTGGAAGAATCATGTATACATATTGCTAAATGAAAGAGGCCAAGGTATGCACAGTGACTCATGCCTGTAAGCCCAGCACTTTGGGAGGCAGAGGCAGATGGACCCAGGAGCTCAAGACGACTCTGGGCAACATAGCAAAACCTCATCTCTCCAAAAATATTACAAAAATTAGCCAGGTTTGATGGCACAGGCCTTTAGTCCCAGCTACTGGAGAGGCTGAGTGGGGGAGGATAGCTTGAGCTGAGGAAGTAAAGGCTGCAGTGAACAGTGACTGCATAGCTACACTCCAGCCTGGGTGACTGAGTGAAACGCTGTCTGAAAAATATAATAATAATTTTAAAAAAGGAAATAAAGAAGACAGGCTGGAAAACCTAATGCCATATGATTCCACTTAGAGAATATTCTGGGAATGCCAGAATTATAGAATTCATAAAAAAATCAATGATTGCCAGAGGTTTGTGGGGGGTGGTAATGTACGGACTAGGTGAAGTCCCTAGGATTTGCGGGATGGGACAGAGGTGTTGAATTTATTCTGTATGCTACAGTAATGGTGGATACATAAGACTATGAACTTGTCAAAACCTGTAAAACTTTATAGCACAGAGTGAACATTAATGCCTGCAATCTCAAAAAATAGATATTTAGAGGTGGAGGAATTCCATGACAGAATGCAGACTATGAAAAAATAATTGCCTTAAAGTGTGTACCAAATAACATCATGAAATGTTCTTAGGATGGGGTGTGGGGGTTGAAAATTCTGGCCCAAGTAACTTTGGAAGGGATTGAAGTCTATAAGACCTAAGACAAAAGAAATTGTATATAAGCCCTTTATTTGGTGGAATTTCCTCCCCTCCATCATGGGAATACAGACTAATAATTCAGAAAACATTATACATATGCACTGAAATGAAACACATAAATGGGTGGCAGAGGTTAAAGTAGCGTTTCTCACTCTCAGACTGGGATAAATCATGGAAAGAAAGCTACATAGTTTTATGTGGTAATGGATTAGAGCTAAAGGCATCAGTATAACCTCATTCTTAATAATATGTGGACAAATGGACACATATAAAAATGTTTATAGATATGTATATATGTATGCAGGTTAATATATGCACATATATTTTCCTCTTCTTTCAGCGAAGAATGTTTGGCAAAAATGACACCACAGAAGTAATGAGCATAGCTAGCACCCACATCTTGGTTTCTAATACCATTCTTCTAAAAAGGGAATGAGAACCGTGAGAAATAGTTGATTCTACAACTGGGTAGAGAATATACAAGATAATGTTGGAGCATTCTATAATGTCAGAATGTAAGGAAGTAATAAAAAACAAAAGTTGATGAGGTTTGTCGAAGAAACACGTGAACCAAATGAAAGAGCCTCCAATGGTCAAAGGTAGAACAATTCCAGATTTGCACAACCAAATAAATAAAGTAGTATCAAACTGTAACCTAAAATATAAAATAATTATCTATGAATCTTTACTAATACATAAATAAGTGATTGAATGAACAAATAGGGCAAGTGGACAATTTTTTTTGTTCAGAATTCTAAATAACTTATGTAGACATTCTTCCATTTAAAAAGTGCCAAATAACTCTCCACGTCTTAAGTATGCACTGCAAAAAGTGATTTCCTTTCACAGAACATAGTTAGTAGAGGGGAAAAACAATTCAACTGTATTTGTCTACATGCTGTATAGAACTATAAATTAATTTTATATTATCTGCTATGATTAATAACAATTCAAATTATTTTCTTTATTTGGCTTCTTTGATTATATTTTATTATCAACAGAATTGATAGTTACGTTCTAACAGAAAATTAAAACCAAAATCAAAATATGATGTATTTTCAAAAGCAGAGAGGTTTAAAGTTAATTTTATTATGAAGCCATCAGCAAAATTTTGTTCCTTTGACATATCATCTCAACTCTTCAAAATTCTCAATACAGTAAAAATTTCAGGAGCTTTTGCCTCAAATTTAGACTTTTTTTCATTCAGATCCTGAGCCCCTATATGTGTCATATTTTCACACCACAGACACAAAAGGAAGAAAGGAATACAGCATACATTTGAAACTTTCTTTTAAATAATGCAATACTGGAGGGAACTATGGCCAGAGTGATTCAATAATATTTGCAGATACCTACAGACTGATCCCCTTTGAGACATTATGTATGACTATAATCAAGTGAACACTGTTTACAAACAAAGATACAAACACTACTGAAAGCTTCTGAAGGATTACTGATCATTGAAAACTAAATTTACATATTCACATACTGTGTGTGGCTATGCTAGGGGAGAGCATTGTTCCAATGCTGGAAGCACTTAGTAGAATCCACTCATTCTATTCATCTACTCATCTACTTATTCTATAATGAGTAGTATCTCATTCTGTGTGAAGTGGCATAATTGTAACTGGGATAAGGTAAACATGCATGATGTAACTTTACACTAAACAGTAAAAAGTTAAAAGAAGTACAGCTTAAAAGCTAATAGGAAGGATAAAATTGAGTAAGATAAAATGAAAGGAGGTATTTAAAAAGAAATTATAGAAAGCAGTTAGCAAAAGGAAGCATTTTTACAAAATCATATTTACATAAATATAAATGGACTGTATTCTCTAACAAAATTAAAACATTTTCAAAATAAATTTTTAAAGATCAAATAACATTTTACTTATAAAAGATGGACTTTAAATATAAAAAAATAGAGCAAATGGTGGGCGTTCCAGGATGGCTGAATAGGAACAGCTCCGGTCTGCAGCTCCCAGCATGATCAACACAGAAGATGGGTGATTTCTGCATTTCCAACTGAGGTACCTGGTTCATCTCACTGGGACTCGTTGGACAGTGGGTGCAGACCAGAATATATAAGTGGCTCATATATTTAAACAATAAAAGATGATCTACCTGGTTAAAAAATAGGGGGAAAAACCCTTAAACTGATACTTCATAAAGGAAAGTATTCAAATGGCCAATAAAAAAGTGAAGACATTTTTCAACATTATCAATCATTAAGTATATGATATTTAAACCATAGTAAGATATCAATATGCACTCATCTAAAATTCTAAAATAAATACCAACAACCCCATGGGAACATTAAATGACTGATTCTCACATGCAATCAAGAAATAGCCACTTGACTTTTATGTATTTACCCAAGAGAAACAAAAACATATGTACATAGAAACATTTAGATGAAAATGTTCATAGAAATGTCATTAATAACAGAAACTGGAAAAAACAAAAATGTCTGTAGTTCTTGTACAACCCAAGATAGTGTCATGTAAATGGTTCTATGTATATATGTTTTGGTTTCTCTTGGGTAAATACTTAAAAGTCAAATAGCTATTTCTTGATTACATTTGAGAACCAGTCACTTAATATTCGCTTGTGGTGTGTGTGTGTGTGTGCATGTGCATGTATGTGCATGTGTATAAAATATTTTACATACACACACACACACACACACACACACACACACACACACATATACATATAAAATTTAAGAATGGCCCACAAGATTATGGAGACAAGTCCAAAATCTACAGAGTTAATGTCTTGGTTTTTCTCAATTTCTTTAATTATATAAAATGCAGTAACCAAAATATGTATTGCTTTCAAAGTTTTTAAGAAGTTATGAGCTTTATGGGATCAGAATATCCTTGGCATTTTCTGAAAAAAGGAACTATACAATTATTTCAAAGAAATTTTCTAAGTTTCAAATGGAAGTCATCCCCTGTGTTTATCATTCTTCTTTGGGCTTCACTATTTGAGACCTGTGTAGAAGGAATGAAGATAACATTTATGGTCGTTAATTTTATGTATCAACTTGCTTGGACCATGGAGTTCCCAGATATTTGACCAAACATTATTCTGAATGTTTCTGTGACAGAGTGTTTTCAGATGATATTAATATTTACAACAATAAACTAAATAAAGCTTATTGCCCATCATGAGGTGAGTAGGCCTCATCTAATTGGTTGAAGTCCTGATTAAACAAAAGGCTGACCCTGCCCCAAGTAAGAGAGAATTCTGCCTGAGAGCTGAGAACTGTAACAGAGCTCTTCCTGGTTCTGTAGCAGCTTGCCACCCTTCAGACTCAAACTGAGACATGAGCTATGTAGATTTTGTATTTGTCAGCATCCATAATCATGTGAGCCATTTTATTATTATATATGTATATAGGAAATATTTTACACACACACACCCCAAGGGAATATTAAGTAGCTGGTTCTCACATGTAACCAAGAAATAGATATTTAACTTTTAAGTATTTACCCAAGAGAAGCAAAAACATGTATACACAGAACCATTTAGATGAAAATGTTAATACAGATGTCATTCATAACAAAAATATATATAACAAAAATAACTATATGCTTATCCTAATTTATTTGACCCTGAATATTTGCAAGTTTATACAAGTCAGGTAATACATAATGTAATTATTAGTTGTTTCTGGACATATTTTATTTTATTAAATTATATACATTCTTAGGTTTTTTATATCAATTTACATTTAAAATCATAGAACAATGATTCAACCCTTCAATAAAGTTAGCAAGTATGTGGTAAACTCTGAATTCAGTAGCCTCAAAATTGATGGTGGAATTCACAAATTCATTTTCAAATTGTTTGCAGCCTACTTGGGTGATAATTGCATTTTAAAACTGTTATATCTCAGGTATAAAATGTAAGTTTCTTTGTGGAATGTAATTTTGGCAACTTATGTTCTTTGTAGTTATCCTTGGAAAAAATAAAAATGGACTTGTATTTATTATACGAGAAAATCTTACCCCAATAATTATAAAATCTTACCATAATAGTTATAATCTTTCTTTTACCTAAAGCTGTAGAATTCTTGGGTCTAGCTATCCTTTATAACTGTATATTCTTTGTATATTCATACATTATCTAAACAGTGATAGTTGAGTTATTTTAATCTGAATGTTATTCTATATAACATATTGCTCCTAAATTTTACTGAAATTATAAAAACTAATTTCTCATACTTGAAGATTCATAAGGAATGTTAAGAAAACGTTATGATTCTTCAAAAGATAAGTCTCAGTATACTATTATTGGTACCTAAATACATTACAATAAGACTCTAAATGGAACTAGGTTGTATAATATTGTCTCACAAATAAATTTTGTAAAAGAAGACATTTTCAAATGTTCCAATATGTGCTCTCAGTTAATTTAAAGGCCAAAGACTTTTGAATTGATATAATAAACTCTTAACAGATAAAAAATTATATGTCCTAATATCCAAATGATATGTACCAGTTGTTGTTTTTATTAACAGGCTAACTACATGGGAATAATAGCAGGTGAGTAATGAGATGTGCTCTGAATCAGAAATATCTTACATTTTTAACAGGAAATCCACTGTTACAGTCCAGAATACTTAAGGAAAATTACTTGGAGTTTTTAAAATGTGAAAGCATCTGTCAAATTCGAATTAGTACACATATTACTACTTTATTCACTAGTTTGTTTGTAGTTAAATGGATGGTTAAATACTTGTGAATTAAATGTTAGATTATTTATTCTCATCTTATTTACCTATTTATTTCTTTTTTATGAAGTTTGCATTTGTGAAATACATCCTCCTCAGCAGTGTAATAGTTATTCCCCTAAGAGTTAAGTCTTGCAATTGTTCAACAATTTATATTGACCTTTCTCAAATCTCTCACTGTCTGTCAATATTGATTTGGAAGGATAGCTTTAACTCAGACATTTTAGTATTATTATCATATTTAAATAGTCAGAATAAGCTTGTTTCTGTCTTAGTACATGTAAACTTAATGTTGAAATTGGCTCAATTCCAATTTTCATCTTCATGCTCATGAGGAAATAATACATGAAAATCTAGTCTAGGTTTTGGCTGAGTATTTTTTAAAAGTAATCATTTTTAATGTCTTATCCATTCAAGTCAAGAAAAGCTCATTTGAGTTTCTAAATTTCTAAATTTTTACTTGACTGTACAAAATGTGCAGATAACCTGTGCCACTTATCTGTTTTATAGGTGATACTTTTCTTGCCACCGTATACCAAAGAACTTCCTAAAATGAGTAAACAGAATTAGGGGCATCCTTTCAATCTATCTATAATCTCTCTTTTATGTGCTTCCTCTAAAAACTGAGATTCCTACAATTAGCCTTCTTTGTGAAAAAGGCTTATCTAAAATGAGTAATGCCAAACTGTGTGCGTATTAGTCTGTACTCACACTGCTAGAAAGAACTACTAACGTTAAACCTGGGGCCTTGAGTCTGACGCATAAAACCATTTCTTCCTCATAGGCCTCCAATCCCGTGATGGAACAGGCTGCCAGGAAGGTCTCTGAAATGCCCTGGGTGCATTGTCTAGTGATTAATATCTGGCTCTTCTTTACTTATGCAAATTTCTGTAGCCTTGATTTTCTCCCCAGAAAATGAGGTGTTTTTTTTTTCTACCACATAGTCAGGCTGCAAATTTCCCAAACTTTAATTCACTGCTTCCCTTTTAAGTTTAAGTTACAGTTCCTCATCATTTATTTGTTTATGCAAATGCACATGGACTTTTAGAAGCAACCAGGCCACATCTTGAACTCTTCGCTGGTTGGAAATTTCTTCCACCAGAAAACCTAAATCATCTCTCTAAAGTTCAAAGTTTCACAGATCTCTAGAGCAGGGGCACAATACCACCAGTCTCTTTGATAATGCATAGCAAGAGTGACCTTTACTCCAGTTCCCAATAAGTTCCCATCTTCATCTGAGAACATCTCAGCCTGGACTTCACTGTTCACATCACTATCAGCATTTCGATCACAACTCTTCAACAAGTCTCTAGGATGTTCCAAACATTCCCACATATTCCTGTCTTATTTTAATTCCTTCAAGCTTTTCCAATCTCTGCGCATTACCCAGTTCCAAAGTCATGTCCACATTTCAGATATCTTTATAGCAATACCCCACTTCTCTAGTACCAAATTCTGTATCAGTCCATTCTCACACTGCTATAAAGAACTACATAAGACTGAGAAATTTATGAAGAAAAGTGTTTTAATTGACTCACAGTTTCACAGGCTGTATAAAAAAGACTGTATGGGAGGCCTCAGGAAACTTACAATAATGGCAGAAGGTGAAGAGGAAGCAGGCACAAACTTCACATGGTGGAGCAGGAGAGAGAGAGAGAGCAAGGGGAGAAGTGCTAAGCACTTTTAAACAAGCAGATCTCATGAGAACTCACTCACTATTATAAGAACAGCAAGGGGAAAACTGTCCCCATGACCCAATCACCTCCCACCAGGGCCCTCCCCCAACATTGAGGATTACAATTCATCATGATATTTGGGTGGGGACATACAGCTAAACCATATCAATGTGCTAACACAGTAAGACCTATAAACATCTCAGGAGACAATACTGTATCTCATCAAGTAGCAGCTATCAGGATCCGAGGGAATTTTGACACTAGACAGGCATTTTTATAGGACAAGGTCATCTTATTGACTAATGTGGAGAGATGGTCTACATAATCTGATAGTACTCAGTTGTGTTGTGAAAAAAGGAATGGGAGGGAGAATGAGGAGATAAGGAAGTTGGGGCAGATTAAAAGAGCTATTAAAAACAAACAGTTTCCTTTGTTTCAATTTTGCCCTACTCATGGACACATCTCTGTATCCCCAATGTCTGTAGGATTATATTTAAAGTCTTTTTTAAAATTTCTTATTAAAATTAAACTGGAACATTACTAGGAAAACTAAATTTGATACAAATATGTACTCTTAAGATTTTCCAGTTTCAATCATAAATTGCCTTTGAAATAGCTGTTATTTTGAATAATTCATACCAAAGGTGAAACCAGACTGCATGAGAAGGCATATCATACATTTTGTGAATGTCCTACTTTTCAAGTGACATCAATTTGGATACTTTTTAGGGCTGGACCAATTACTTTGTAACGTCAGCTTAATAAAATGTATGCACTTAACATAAGCTCACTTAGTTTAATGTGTTGCTTATGTTGTCTATAAAGTTCCAAAAAAATCCAAAGAATTGAAAAAGACAATAATTATTTCGATAGTTAACATTATATGCCACTTAAATGTTGAATTGTCACTTTTTTGTTATTTTCTGATGATTTTTAAAAGCGTAGTCCATAAACAAATTGCATATTTTGACTATTAGACAAGTGATTTTGTGAATCTCTTTGCATGCTTAGAGAAATTCTGCTCACATTTTGATAAGTTATGGCTCCTCAAATCGTGGCTGTCAGATGGCAACTAAGTAATCTAATACAAAAGGTAGGAGAAATTAATCACAATAGTTTAACATAGAAAGTAGAATAATATAATACACAAATGGGCAGAAGTAATTGATTTGTGTTTATTTTTATCTACAGCCATCCTATTGTGGCTATTGATCACAGAAAATTCATAAAATTAATTAGCATAAAAATAATTTACCTGAGAGCTTTTTATTTTCTTTTCTTCTCCTGCCTATCCATGTTTCTACTCATTTTTTCTTGGTTGGTTGGCTTCTGTGTATGTTGAATTAGAAATAAAAAAAATCAAGCTTTCTTTTCTTTATATCCACCTTTTTGAAAGTTTACATAAAATCCTTAATAACAATGCAACAAAACAATAACAAGAACAACAAGATGTAGGGTCATTGGCTAAACAGATGTTGAACTCTAGATATTGTGGACTATAATCAAAAGTATTTATCTACAAAATCATCTTCAACATTTTAGTTGAAATTTACAGATCATTGACTTCTTCATTTTTTGTCATTCCCTAGGAAAAGTAGTTTCAAATAAAAAGCCACCTACTAGCCAAGCTGCAATGTGTGAGAACTGCACTAGTTTACCTATGACTGCAGGGTTTGAATACACATTTAATAAACATTTGCATTCTACCTTGAGGTTTCTCAACAGAATTACTTCTAATTGGGAAAGAAACACAAAAGTGGAAGAAATAAAGGAAATGAAAAGTTTAAACATATTTTAACAGAACGTTTTGCTGATATAAAGTGTTCTGGCACTTAAGATCAGTAATAATTGTTTAATGGTGTAACCAGTGAAATTATTTGTGGCAAGTAACAAATCCCTCAACTGCGATTATCAGCCATATTGTGATGTACAATAATAATAACAAAATGATTATGGACCTTATATATAATTTAGGGGTCAGAGAATAGGGGCAGGTTTGGGTTGACAACAAAATTCCTATATTTATTAGCTTCTGCAATTCTCTACAAAACAGTAATGAATTATATATATTTATATTATATAATATATACTGTGTGTATATATTAAATTTTATATAGTAAAATTTTCATATATTTTAAATTTTTACATAATAAAATACATGTAAATATATTTAAAGCATTAAAATGCATATTGTCAATACAATTGATTTGTATTTTAAGGATAGATAACTGGTTTGGCTAATTTAACAATAATGGTACTTAGAAAATCTTTAGCACTAAATTAAAGTGAAATTTTAGCAAACCAAGTTATGTATAAAACGCTAAGGGTTTTATATATTGCTTTATTTAATCTTCAAGTTTGTCAAGTAGTGTAAATCCAGTCTACCAATGAGGAAGCTAATTTTAATTTTTATTCTGTCAGCAAGCTTGTAAGAGCCCATATAGTTTTCCCTTTGCACAGGAAAAAAAAGTACTTCTCATCTCTTCTATATAGTTTATAAAAATTATTTATATTAATAAAAATTTCATAGTTTTAAAATACAGCTCACTTAAATAATTCATTTTTTTTTTTTTGGTATGAGTTTCAGGTTTCTTTTTTCTTCCTACTTATTTTTCTTTCTCTGACCACTTGGGCATTTCAGAACGCATTAACCTCCTAGGGAGTTGCTAGGAGAAACAACTAACCAAATCAAAGAAAGTGTCATTTTGCCACTTACTAGAAATAAAAGTGACAAAGAGGCTTGAGTCGCTTATGGATCTATTTATTGAAAAACTTTAGTCTTCAATAAGTATTTTTAGAAGAGCTTTATAGCCATTAGAAGTATAAAAAGAAATAGATCATTAACCACATCACTCTTCCCTAAAACACATATACATTTCTGTCAGAATTCATCCACTTTTAGGAAAATTTCTGCACCCTTTCACTCCCACATATAAAAATGTTATATTGCTATATAAATTGATTTTACATGCCACATTCATTTTTCTTTCAAAATGTGGTCTTTGGTTCAATTACTTCAACACAGACTTATTAAGCATTTGTTATATTATTTACTATATATATTGTGAGATAAGCAATAAATACATTTACCAAAAAGAATTGAAATACAGTAATATAATAACTTTTGTTAAAAATGCTTATGAATATGGGGCTAAATCCAAGGATGTGAAAATTTCTCAAGATAATTTATGCAAGGAAAAAGGAAAACTTTTTAGCTTGCATCTGGAGAATGAGTAAACATGTGCATACATAAAAATTATGAAAAGGGACCATGCATGGTGGCTCATGCCTGTAATCCCAGCACTTACTTTGGGAGGCCAAGGTGGGTGGATCACCTGAGGTCAGGGGTTCCAGGGCACCCTAGCCAATATGGCGAAACCCCATCTCTACTAAAAATACAAAAATTAGCTCGGCATAGTGGTGCATGCCTGTAGTTCCAGCCACTTGGGAGGATGAGGCAGGAAAATCACTTGAACCCAGGAGGTGGAGGTTGCAGCGAGCTGAGTTCGCAACACTTGCATTCCAGCCTGGGCAAAAGAGTGAGACTCAATCTGAGAAGAAAGAAAAGAAAAGAAAAGAAAAAAAGGGGGAAAAAAGAAGAAAATTATGAAAAGAGCAAGAGAAAGAAATGGGAAAAGTTTGTGGCTTGAACAACTGGGTGGATGACTATGTCGGGGACTGCCATGAACATTTAAGGAAAGTGAATGACTGCAAATGTTGTTAAGTATGATGAACTGGACTTCAAAAATAAATATTAAACAACTAAAGAATATTTAGGACTTACAATGTACTAGGCACTATTTTACTCACTTTGTATTAGTATAGTTAACTCTTAAGAAGCCCTGTTTTCACAGATACTATTGTTATCTTCATTTTATAGTTGAAAAATTTGAAGCACAGATAAGTTCAGTAACTTTCCAACGATTATATAGCAAATAAGTGGCAAGGTCCAATTCAATTCTTGGAAGTCCAGCTTCAGAATATAAATTCATAGCCACTGCACCATAATTCCTTAAAGATGTTGAGTTTGAGGTGTTCATTCATCCATTCCCAAATTCAATATAGTTAAGTGCCTTCTACATGCCAGACATTGTGATATGCACTGTAATGGGGTACCTCCAAAAGGAAGTGTCCAAAATTCTGTTTCTTGCAGTCAACATAAGCCAACCAGACGTCCCCCTAAATGCATGATAAGACTCTAGTTCTGCTATGCAGTGAATGTGCCCCTCTCTCCAAAGTCATATAGTGAAGCCCTGAACCCTCAGTATGATGTTATTTGAAAATGGGGCCTTTGGGTGATAATTAGGTTTAGATGCGGTTATGAGGCTGAAACTATCATGATGGGATTAGTGTCTTAATAAGAAGAGAAAAGAGAGAGCTTGTTCTTCTCTTTGTGCCTCCATGAGCGGAAACAAGAAGGCAGCTATCTGCAAGCCAAGGAAGAGAGCCTTGACCAGAAATTGACCAAGCTGTTACCTAGGTATTAGACTTATAGCCTCCAGAACCTTAAGAAAATAATTCCTGTTGTTTAAGCCACCCAGTCCATGGTAATTTATTATGGCAGCCCAAGCTGACTAAAGAAGTCCATTAACTTATCTTGCCTGAGACATTATATAAATGGGAAATGTCTACAAAACTCACTGATTTTTATACCCTTTTCGTAGAAATTATAAGACACTTTTATGAAGTATTGCTTACAGAGGCTTTTCTTTGTTACACTTTGGGTGAATATTTTGTGAAAACTATGGTAAGAGCACAAAAAGGTAGAGATCTGGTACTACCTTACACATGCTGAACAAGTTGTAGAAAGTTTTAGACCTGCTTACATCATCAAATTTGCTTTGTCCATTTGCAACAGGGTTACAAATCAGTTGACTAAGTAATTACTGTAGTACTTTGAATTTCAGTCACATATAAACTCTTTCTGAGACTTCGGAACACTGTTTAAAAATAAATCAGTATGGAAATATTCTGGTTACCCTTCTTATAGTATTATTCAACATATTTCAGTGAAGAACACTTTAGTAAAAGGAACTCCATTCTTTCTGATTCCAGTGAGCCAAGACTGCTGAGGACTGGAAATCATAAATTGCCAAATTCCAAAAACTGAATTCATTGCTCCATGCTAAAGTTAGTGAACTATCTAAAAAGAGACGTATACAGAAAAAGTCAGATAAATTAGAAAAGATCATTGCCCCAGGATCCAGTCAAACCTTTCCAACTGTGTGTCCCTTGTTTATCAGAATTAATAAACCCTACCATTGCAAACTATGGTCCAATGGGATATAGTATGAGAGCAGAGGGAAGATTCGCTCCGTCTCACTGGGCCTCGCAAAGTACCCCTGCTCAAAGACAGAAGCTGGTGGGTAGAGCCACAAGACAGAAAATCTTTAAAAGAAAATGATCAAGATCTGCATAAGTGACAAGCGGTCAAAAGAGTCAAGTTTGGTTACTGTTGTTTTTAATTATATACCTGCTATCTTGATTGCATAAAGTAATAAAATTTCCTTTCACACAATCTATTTAAAATTGGGTTTCTTTCACTTGCATAATTATTTCTAAGTAATGTATATTCTTAATGATTCTTCAATATTACTTATTAATATACATCATAGATAATTGTCAATAAAGGTTGAATCATTAAAAACTCATATGCACCTAGTTTTCTCTTAAAGATTTAAGGATTATTATAACCCAAATTATGCATATTTGGACAACTAACTTAAGCTCTCTTCCTCATTGGATGTAATGTCATCTATCATATAACATTTTTGAGAATAAGTTGAATATATTTGTGTTTAGCCTAGAACAATGTCCTTGTAATACAGTAGATGCTCAATACATATTAATTATTATTATAAAGATTTCAAAGGAATCTATACCAAAGTCAGTTATATACAATAATTAGATGTGAATAACAGCATTCTGAGCACTGTACATCTGTGGCTTCAAACATGTTTTATTGCAGTGCATAATAGACAACACATTTTATATGCTGAAATAGTAAGAATACACAAAAACCCATTTAATAAGTTTCATTTAGAAAAATCTGATTGTGTGATATACTTAATGTTTGTATTATGTTTTAGTTTTTAAATTCATTTTATGCAGAGCCCTCAATTTTAAAAACAGAGGTACAAAGTTTTGTTAACTACTCAATTATTTGTGTACACTGCCATAGCTCTCTGGCAATTAAGTAATCACTTTTCATAAAATCAGATTTCTTATCCAGTGCTCATAACAGTCTCATACAGCTATTGAATTCAAAAGACAGAGGCAGCAAAGTGCCTAGCCTTTAAAAACAAATCCACAATTTCTGACTTCCTACTGGGTTATATTTATACTACTTGTGCAAATGGGTATAGGTTTCTCATAACATTTTTAGTTCACTGTTTTGAATAATATATGTTAGTATCACATTTGAATATGGAGCACAAATGATCAAATGATGAAAAGAGAATATTTCAGGTAAATATGTTTTTGCCATTGTTACAATAAGTCTGTTTCATAATGTATTTTAACGTGCAGTGCCAGTACCTTTACAATCTTTGTCTTTATAATGTAATTCAATTGTAGCAGTGAAAAAATATTGATGTCAAACATGAAATATTTTCAAAGGTCAGCTTGTTTAAACCTCAACTCTCTTGTTGTAAATGGGATATAATTGATAAAAGACTGAGGAAATTAAATTGCAACTGCATCTAGCTGACAGGTTCATGAGGCTCTTCATCAATTTCACATTAGGTTATGACACTGTAGATGACAGCATGTGACATAAACATTCTGCCACAGATTTCATCACATTAATAATAGTATCCCCAGTGTGTTCAAGTAGTCAATAAAGCAGCCCAAAAGGGCTTTTTGAATTTACACGTGAACAAAGATTTATCAAAAATTTATATAAAGAAATGGTAACAAAAATAAAATTCGGTGATGCATAAACGCTGATACATTCATCTTGGATGCATGTTCTATATTGGCATATTTGTCATTAATTTGATTCTGAACATATTGAAAAAGTGGGCTGAACTCTCTTTTTACTCCTCTATGAGGACAATTCTAAAAATAAAATTTTATATTTCTTAAATTCTTCATGAGTCTTAGTGAAAGTGTGATATTCTTAGATTAAAAAGAAAAGGGCCAGAGTCAAATAATCTCTTTTAGCTTATTCATCAGGTTTACACTTCTCAACTATGCCTCAAATCTGGGCTGTGCTTTTCTTACCTATATGTCCTGCTTTATATTGACATAATAATTTCTTATAGTTTCGCTTTAAGCTTTCCTCTGCTCTTTATTATGCCCTATTATGCCATTGGAAGATCATTGAGATTCTAGTAAAATACAGAAAAATAGCAACACCATCCTGATGTGTCCATGATCAACTGAGTTATGCCACAATGTATGAAAAGCCCAGCTGTACAGAGGGGGGAATAATAAGAGATTTGGACAGTCTGACCAATTCAGTTACATTATTTTTTTCCTTCTTCCTCACTATAACTACACATTTGAGCACACATGGACAAAAATATTAATATGAAAGTGACTACATACTGCACAACTGGACAGGTAAGAGAACATATCCTTACAAAAATGTCATAATAAATTTTCCTAACGTTAGTGACTGAAAAACTAATAGATTATTGGAGGGTATATTAATTTTCTATTGCTGCTGTAACCACTTACAAGCTTAGTAAGATGAAACAACACATATTTATTACCTTACAGTTCTGGAGTTCAGATATCTGACACAAGTTTTCACGAGCTAAAATCAGGGTGTTGGTAGGATTTGCAGTTCTTCTTTAGGCTCCTAGGGTAATCCATTTTCTTGCTTTCCTAGAATCTATCCTCATTCCTTGGCTTGTGGCCTACTTCTTTCATCTAAAAGGTCAGTAATGGCACATTAAGTTATTTGCACACCAAGCACCCTGTCCTACTCTTCTGCCTCCTTCTTCCACTTTTAAGGACCCTTGAATCTAACTTGGTCCTGTCCATATGATTCAAAAAAATTTTTCCATCTCTGTGACCTGATTAACAACCTTTATTACATCTACAACCTTACTTATCTTTGACCATGTAATATAAATGTATGGGTTCCAAGAATTAGGGTGAAGACATATTTGAGGGACCATTATTCTGCTTACTATAGAAGGAAAGAGAAACATACACATAATTAAAAAATCATGTTTACATCATACTTTTTAGAAACACACAAGAGAAAGAATATTGCATAATATGTTTAGCATTTTGAAGGAAAATAATATTAAACTAGGATTTTACACCCAGCTGAACTATTACTTAATGTGAACACACAGTAAGTATAATTGTAGGCATAGAGGTTTTCAGAATGTAAAAAAAAATTAGACAATTTTTAGAAAATAAATAATTGCAAAAAGACTTTGTAGACTATGGAAAATAACAATTAGTATCCATTTCTATAAACAGTATATATTTGCCTGGGGTTACATTTTTGATAACACCTATGTGGCAAGAGGTGGAAGAAGAAGAGTAAAAGCTACCAAATAAATAAATAAAAGATCAGAACATGCTGAGGTGTGCATATTTAGGACAAGGTGGAAAATGATATTTAAGTTTTAATTTTAATTTCTTAGTTTAGCTTAAAATGAAATTTGGGCATTGGCAGACTACAGATTGTGGCCCACTGTCTTAATCCAGTTTGTGCTGCTAAAACAATATATCACAGACTGAGTAATTTATAAAGGACAAAAATTTATTACTCACAGCTCTGGAGGCTAAATAGTACAAGGCCAACATGTTATCATTTGGTTAGGGCTGCTCTCTGCTTCCAAACTAGAGCCTTGAATGCTGTCCTCTGGAAAAGAGGTGCTCTCTGTGCTCAAATGGCAAGAGGTAGAAGGGAAAAAATGGGGAAAATTCCCTCCATCAAGCCACTTTATAAAGGCATTAATCCATTCACAAGAGGGAAGCCCTCATGACGTAAACACTTCCCAGAAAGCCCCACCTCCCAACACTGTTGCATTGGGAGTTAGGTTTCCAGCACATGAATCTGGGGGCATATTCAGACCATAGTACTCACAAAGTGCCAAATTTCACCACACTCACTTTTAATGTATTTTTATATTGCTTTCATGCTACAATGAAAGACTGGAGTAATTGTAACAGAGACTATGTGGCCAATACAGCCAAAAATATTTATTATCTGTCTCTTTACAGAAAATGTTGACTACTGATATAAATTGAAAGGAAAATAGCCAACACTGAAAAATAAATAAAATAAATCAAAATTGGTGGGACACATTAAAGCAAAACTTAAAATTACATAGCTCATATGCATTTATTAGAAAACAGGCAAAGTTAGAAAAATGAGGTCAGTGTTTAATACAGGGATAATAGATGAGACAATTTTACTGAATACTTACAAAGGAATTCTATAAGCAGGCAAAAGCATTGAACTAGACATACAGCAACAACTTAAATCAATCTTAAAAAGTGTGGGCTTTTTTGCAAAATGCATTAGGAAATCTATAGCAAAATAAAACTTAACTAAGTTAAAACACATTCAGGTCCAAAATATCACTACCTAGTTTAAATAAATATATATGCATAATAAACTTAAAGCCATTATAAAATTAATAATTTAGTACATATTGTAGGAGGCATAGCATAAGAGGGAAAATTAAGATTTTAATGTGTTATGAACCGAGTATTACAATTTGTTTGGCATTTTAAGTTCAGATTTTAAAATAATAATTATGAAAATTATATATGTGTACATAACCTTTATTTCTGCTAGATTTTAGACTAAGGTGATTCTGTTCTAATTCCAACATTAAATGCCAAATAAAATGTAACAAAATTCAGAAACATGTTAAGTTATAATAGATATAGAAATAAAACTTTTAGAACCCCAAATATCAGAGACGAGAAGAAATTCCAAGCCAGAACCATAAACCAAGCTGATCCCTGGCAGCTTAAGAGAAAGAAAGAAAAAAAAAAAAAACAAAAAACAGACATAGGCATTACACCTGGGAATTCTGGGAACTGAGATAGTCAAGACCCATACTGTAACTGTAAATGCACACTCATTTGGGAACTGACACACAGCAAGTTAATCCCTTGTCTCCCTTACTACTCTCATTCTGTTACCTCATCACCAATAAAAATCTGTGTGCTATTCTCTATGAATTACATAAAGCACTTACTTTCCTAGTTTTCTTCATCTCTATTCCCCACCAAAAAGAACAAAAATAAAATAGTTTATGTTAATTACAGACTCACATAACTCACTTGTCATCTAATGCATGCTTTTGTAGGATAAAAATATTTAGAGGTGTCATTTTTATGTTGTTTAGATTGCTTCTTCTTATGGGCATATGAGTAACTTAGAGAACTGTGTAATGTCACTGCTCCAGTACAACTAGATTCCAAAAGTAATGAATTCTTAGGAACATTCGTGAACCTCTAGGATAATCATGGCAGACAGGAGACACGACTAGATTGCAGCTCCAGAGAGAGCAGTGTGTGAAGACTCACATGGTGAATTTTAACTCCAGAACTGCAAGAACAAACAAACAATCTCAAGAGGCCCCACAGACCCTCTGAAGGAAGGGGACTGCTCCTGTAGGACCTGGGAGACACCCCAAATATTGTGAGTGCCCCAACAGTGGAAGTGGGAAAGAGAGAGCCTGCTATCCTGAACACATGCCCCCACTGGAGAAATTGAGGGAGAAGTTTCTGACTTTACCTGGAGCTGAGTCGATTTAGACAGCCAAGCAAAATACAGGGGTAGAGGAAGCAGCAGAAAGGCCCTGGGAGCTTGCTGGGTCCCTAAGCAGCCCATTCCTGCCTGGCACCAATCCATCTGGAGGCTTGCTGTAATCAGACTCTGGGCTGTTGCACGGGTACATGGTGGGAATGAGACTGGCCCTTTGGTTTGTGTGGGAGCTGAGTGTGACCTGTAACTGTCAGCTTTCCTCCACTTCCCTGACAACACACATGACTGAGCAGAGGCAGCCATAATCCTCCTAGGTACACAACTCCAGTGACCTGGGAATCTCTCCCCCATCCCCGACAACAGCCACAACAAGACCCACCCAATGACAGTCTGAGCTCAGGCACATCTAGTCCAGCCCCCACCTGATGGTCCTTCCCTACCTGTCCTGGTAGCAGAAGACAAAGGGCATATAATCTTGGGAGTTCCAGGGCCCCAGCCACTGCCGGCCCTTCTCCACACTACTTCAGCTGATGCTCTCTGGGAAGTGCCACTTCCTGGCAGGAGGCCAACAAGCACAGGAATACAGCATTAAACCATCAAAGCTAAGAACCCTCATGGAGTCCATTTGCAACCCCTGCCACCTCCACGGGAACAGGCGCTGGTATCCATGGCTGAAAGATCCATAGTTGGTTCACATCACAGGACTGTGCAGACAATCCCCAGTACCAGCCCAGAGCTGGGTGGACTTGCTGGGTAGCTAGACCCAGAAGAGAGACAACAATCACTGCAGTTTGGCTCACAGGAAATCACATCCATAGGAAAAGGGGGAACACCTCACGGAACAAAATAATCTGAACAACAGCCTTCAGCCCTAGACCTTTCCTCTGAGAGAGCCTAGCGAAATGAGGAGGAATCAGAAAACCAACCCTGGTAATATGACAAAACAAGGCTCTTTAACACCCCCACAAAATCACAGTAGTTCACCAGCAATAGATCCAAACCAAGAAGAAATCCCTGATTTACCTGAAAAAGAATTCAAGAGGTTAGTTATTAAGCTGATCAGGGAGTCCAGAGAAAGGTGAAGCCCAGTGCAAGGAAATCCGAAAAATGATACAAGAAGTGAAGGGAGAAATATTTAAGGAAATAGACAGCTTACAGAAAAAATAAAAATAAAAATAAACAAAAAATTCAGGAAACATTGGACAAATTTATAAAAATGCAAAATGCTCTGGAAAGTCCCTGTAATACAATTGAACAAGTAGAAGAAAGGAATTCAGAGCTCTAAGACAAGGTGTTTGAATTAACCCAATACAACAAAGACAAAGAAAAAAGAAGAAGAAAATATTAACAAAGCCTCCAAGGAGCCTGGGATTATGTTAAACAACCAAATCTGAAAATAAGCAGTGTTCCCAAGGAAGAAGAGAATTCTAAAAAGCTTGGAAAACGTATTTGGGGGAATAATTGACTTCCCCAGCCTTGCCGGAGATGTAGACATCCAAATACAAGAAGCACAAAGAATACCTGGGAAATTCATCACAAAAAGATCATCACCTAGGCACATTGTCACCAGGTTATCCAAAGGTAAGACAAAGGAAAGAATCTTAAGAGCTGTGAGACACAAGCACCACGTAACCTATAAAAGAAAACCTATCAGATTAACAGCAGATTTCTCAGCAGAAACCCTTCAAGCTAGAAGGGATTGGGGCTTTATCTTCAGCCTCCTCAAACAAAAATCAGAAAATAATTTTGTATCCAGGGAAACTAAGCATCATACATGAAGGAAGGAAAGATACAGTCTTTTTCAGACAAACAAATGCTGAATTTGTCACTACCAAACCACCACTACAAGAACTGCTAAAAGGAGTTCTAAATATTGAAACAAATTCTGGAAACACATCAAAACAGCATCTCTTTAAAGCATAAATCATACAGGACCTATAAAACAAAAATACAAGTTAAAAAGCAAAAAAAAAAAAAATACACAGGCAATGAATAGCACGATGAATGCAATAGTACCTCACATTTCAGTACTAACATTGAATGTAAATGGCCTAAATGCTCCACTTAGAAGATACAGAACCGCAAAATGGATAAGAACTCACCAAGCATCTGCTGCCTTCAAGAAGCTCACCTGACACATAAGGACTCACATAAACTTAGAGTAAAGTGGTGGAAAAAGACATTTCATGCAAATGGACACCAAAAGCAAGCACGAATAGCTATTTTTATGTCAGACAAAACAAACTTTAAAGCAACAGCAGTTAAAAGAGACAAAGAAGGACATTATGTAATGGTAAAAGGCCTTGTCCAACAGGAAGATATCACAAACCTAAACATATATGCACCTAATGCTGGAGCTCCCATATTTATAAAGCAACTACAAATATACCTAAGAAATGAAATAGACAGCAACATAATAATAATGGGGGGCTTCCACTGACAGCACTAGACAGGTCATCAAGACAGAAAGTCAACAAAGAAACAATGAATTTAAACTATACGTTGGAACAAATGGACTTAACAGATATATGCAGAACATTTCATCCAACAACCACAGAATACACATTCTATTCAACAGCAAATGGAACTTTCTCCAAGATAGACCATATGATAGGCCATAAAAAAGCCTCAGTAAATTTAAGAAAATTGAAATTTTATCAAGCACTCTCTCAGACCACAGTGGAATAAAACTGAAAGTCAACTCCAAAAGAAACCTTCAAAACCATGTAAATATGTGGAAATTAAATAACATCCTCCTGAATTAGCATTGGGTCAAAAATAAAATCAAGATGAAAATTGAAAAATTATTTGAACTAAACGACAATAATGACAAAACCTACCAAAAGCTCTGGGATGCAGCAAAGGTGGTGCTAAGAGGAGAGTCCATAGCCCTACATGACTACATCAAAAAGACTGAAAGAGGATAAACAGACGTTCTAAGATCACACCTCAAGGAACTGGAGAAACAAGAACAAACTAAACCCAAATCCCACAGAATAAAGGAAATAACCAAGATCAGAGCAAAACTAAATGAAATTTAAAAAAACAAAAACAAAAACAAAAAAACAAAGGTAAATGAAACAAAAGGCTGATTCTTTGAAAAGATAAATAAAACTGATATACCATTAGCAAGATTAAACAAGAAGAGAAGAGAGAAAAATCCAAATAACCTCACTAAGAAATGAAACAGGAGATGTTACAACTGACGCCTCTGAAATACCAAAGATTATTCAAGGCTACTATGAACACCTTTATGCACATAAATTAGAAAACCTAGAAGAGATGGATAAATTGCTGGAAAAACACAACCCTCCTAGCTTAAATCAGGAAGAATTAGATACCCTGAACAGACCAATAACAAACAGCAAGATTGAAATGGTAATTAAAAAGTTACCAACAAAAAACATACAGGACCAGATGGATTCACAGCAGAATTCTATCAGATATTCAAAGAAGAATTGATACCAATACTTTTGACACTATTCCACAAGTTAGAGAAAGTAGGAACCCTCCCTAATTCATTCTATGAAAACAGCAACACCCTAATACCAAAATCAGGAAAGGACATATCCAAAAAAGAAAACTACAGACCAATATCCTTGATGAACATAGATGCTAAAATCCTTAACAAACTGTTAGCTAACCGAATCCAACAACATATCAGAAAGATAATCCACCATGATTAAGTTCATTTTATACTAGGAATTCAGGGTTGGTTTAACATAAGAAGCTCAATAAATGTGAAACACCACATAAACAGAATTAAAAACAAAAATCACATGATCATCTTAATAGATGCGGAAAAATCATTTAACAAAATCCAACATTGCTTTATGATTACAACTCTCAGCAAAATCAGCATACAAGGGTCATACCTCAATGTAATAAAAGCCACCTATGACAAACCCACAGCCAACATAATGCTGAATGGAGAAAAGCTGAAAGCATTCCCTCTGAGAACTGGAAGAAGACAAGGGTGCTAACTCTCACCACTCCTCTTCAACATAGTAGTGGAAGTAATAGCCAGAGCAATCAGACAAGAGAAAGAAATAAAGGACATACAAATCAATAAAGAGGAAGTAAGACTGTAACTGTTTGCTGGCAGTATGATCATTTAACTTGAGAACCCTAAAGATTCCTCCAGAAAGCTCCTAGAACTGATAAAAGAATTCAGTAAAGTTTCCACATACAAGATTAATGTACACAAATTAGTGGCTCGTCTCTACACCAACAGCAACCAAGAAGAGAATCTAATCAAGAACTCAACCCCTTTTACAATAGCTGCAAAAAAAAAAAAAAATACTTAGGAATATACCTAACAATGGAGTCAAAAGACCTCTACAAGGAAAACTACAAAACACTGCTGAAACAAATCATAAACAACACAAACAAATGGAAACACATCCCATGATCATGGGTGGGTGGAATCAATATTGTGAAAATGACCATACTGCCAAAAGGAATCTACAAATTCAATGCAATCCCCATCAAAATACCACCATCATTCTTCACAGAATTAGAAAAAAAACAATTCTAAAATTCACATGGAACGAAAAAAAGAGCCCGCATACCCAAAGCAAGACTAAGTGAAAAGAACAAATCTGGAGGCATCACACTACCTGATTTCAAACTATACTCTAAGTCTATAGTAACCAAAACAGCATGGTACTGGTATAAATATAGGCACATATACTGATGGAACAGAATAGAGAACCCGTAAGTAAACCCAAATACTTCCAGCCAACTGATCTTCAGCAAATCCAAGTTGGCTATTGGGGATTGTAGAGACACAAAAGTGTTGAAAACAAATGAATTAAAAAATATATTATCTTAGTCAGCTCAGGCTGCCATAACAAAATATTACAGACTGAGTCGCTTAAACAATAGACTAATTTATTTCTCACAGTTCTGGAGGCTAGGAAGTCCCAGATCATGGCAAATTCAGTGTCTGGTGACAGCCCTCGTCCTGTCTTACATGAGGCTCTGCTACATTTTATTTCCTAATTACATCTGAAGAAAGGCACCTACCATTACAATGGAGATCAGGATATTAACATATGAAATTTTGGGGTCACAATTCAGGCTATAGCTTACATTAAGCAAATGATAAAAATATTTGGTATTTATATGGTTTAAGATGAAAAGAAGCATTAATTAAAAGGATCACTATATAATAACAGAAAGGCCAGTTCTTTGGGAAGATTAAGCAATTTAAAATAGTTATGTATCTAAAAAATCAAATTCAAAACATATAGAACAAAATAGTTAAAACTGTATTCAGTGTCATATTGGGAGACTCATTATTACTGTCTTTGTAATTATAGCTAAAACAGAGCGTGGTGAAAGCAGAGGTAAAAAAAAACACTTCAACATTATATTAACAAGTCTAATATGATAAGAAATCTGAAAATGAATATAAAAATTGGAGTGTGAATATTTTCTAAAATATATATATAATTTCTATAAAAGTGTATCCCGTTCTTGGTAATAAGTAAGTATCAAATTTTTCTGAGTAGGTGAAATACAGGAACACGTCTCACTTCAGAGAAAGAAACACTTAGGGCTAATAAGAATGCAAAGAGCAGATCAACCTCACTAGGAATCAAGCAAATGCAAAATTATTGATATCGTAAAATACTTCCCATATTATTAAAACCATAATAAAATATTTCCTCCTCATTCATTTAAGTGATAGAATTTCGAAGTTTTTAAAATGTCAATGTTTTGAAAGCATTAGATTGATAAGATATTTTGTTTGCTATATATTGCTCATGAGATTTTAATTTGTACAACCAGTTTAGACAATGTTTCAAAATAGCTTTGTAAGGTCATAAATTCATCTTATGACTCTGTGCTTCTATTCCTATTCATGAACTCTAGTATTTGTTTTGCTGATTACATAGGATTTTTCTTTTAAAAAATCTCTTTGCAAATACAGACAATTTTACTTCTTGCTTTCTGATCTTTATACCCTTTGCAGTCCCTTTATAATCAATATAGATATGCAGTTGAATTTAGGTCTGTCATTTTGTCTCAACTAACTTTTATTTCTCCTTTTCTTCATTTCTGCCTGTTCTGAAGTTAGCAGATTTTGTTTGTAGAATTTTATTTAAATTCATCTGTTGGTTTATTTTTTCGAGAGTGCGAGTTTATGCTTTTAAAATTTTCAACTAAATTTTTTATTTTGAGGTAAATACTTATTCATGTATAGTTTGATAAATAATACAAAAGTTCTTTGTACTCTTTTCATTTTCCCAAAATTATAGCATACTACAAACTACACTACAATATTAAAATCAAGATATTAATATTGATACAGTCAGTCAAAATACCAAACAGTTCCATTATCAAAGATTTTCCTGGTTAGTTTTTTAAAGCTAAACATCCCTTTTACCATCCTCTCATATTCCTGACTTCTGTCAATCACTGATTTGTTCTCTCTTTCTTCTCTATTTTTATGATTTTATCATTTCAGGAGTGTTATACATGGATCTTGCAGTATGTGACCTTTTGGAGGTTTTTTTTTTTTCATTCAATGTAATTCTCTAGAGAATAAACATTTTAAAGTATCAATAGTAATTTCCTTGTTAATACTGAGTCATATTCTGTTGCATGGATGAATTTCAGTTTGTTTAAAAATTCAACTATCAAAAGACATCTGGGTTATTTCCACTTTGAGGTTAATCTAAATAAAATTTTGTGAACACGTGTATAAATATTTGTGTGAACATAAGTTTTTTTCTCTGAGATTTATTGGATTTATAACTATAATTATTTCCATTGTATGTAGAGATTTCTCATGGATTACAATATCCATCACTAAAACTTTTCATTCTACTTAGAGTTAATAATGTGCTGTATCACCTATAATGAAGAACATATGAAACCTTTTAATTACATTTACCCTATTTTGTATGCATTGAATCTAAATGTGTTACAGATTCCACAATTCAAGGCTACATTTTTAACTTAATCATATATATTTAAAAGAAAACAGGATAAATACATAAACACAAATGCTAGTCTTTTCTTCCTATATTGAGTTTATCCATTTCATATTTATTTCCATTCAGTTAACATTGCCATTAGTGCAGGTCTGCTGCTAACACATTCTTGGTTTTATTTTTGTGAGAATATGTCTTTTTATGCCATCTTTATTAAATTATATTTGTCAATGATATAGAATTGCATTTTGATTTTTTTCCCTTTAAAAGTATAAAGATATTGCTTCATTTCTTGCAAACACAGTTTTGGACAATAAGTCAACAGTCACTTAAATCATTGTTACTCCATATGTAATGTGTCCCTGTTTCTTTCTTCCTCCCTGGTTACTTTTAAAATTTTCTATTTATCTTTGTTTTTTAGCAGTTTGATGATGATGTACCTAGGCATAGTTTTTATTAGTTTTGTTTTGATTAGTGTTTGTTGAACTTCTTGAATTTGTAAATATATTACTTTCAAGAAACTGAAAGTATTTTTTCCACTACATTTTCTCTTCCCTTTTTAAAAATAAAATACACATATTTTAGATATTTTGATGTTTTTCCACAGACCTCTAAAAACTCTGTTCATTTCTTTTCAGTATTTCTAACCTCTATTTTTCCAATTACTAATAGATAAATTTTCCTGATATATTTTCTTTTTTTTATTATACTTTAAGTTCTAGGGTACATGTGCACAACGTGCAGGTTTGTTACATATGTATACATGTGCCATGCTGGTGTGCTGCACCCATTAACTCGTCATTTACATTAGGTGTGTCTCCTAATGCTATCCCTCCCCCCTCCCCCCACCCCACAACAGTCCACAGAGTGTGATGTTCCCCTTCCTGTGTCCAAGTGTTCTCATTGTTCAATTCCCACCTATATATTTTCTAATTCTTCAACTCTATTAATCATTGTTTTCTCCTGACAAAGGGTCAAATTTTCTTGGTTATTTGTATGCCACATATTGCTGGATTGTATTCTGAATATTACAGATGTTCTTTGTTGTTAAGACCTCGGATTCTGTCTTATTTCTCCAGAGTTGTATGCCTGTTTGTTTATTCCTTTGTTATAGTACACAGCTAATTTCATCAGATTTAAAATGAGACCTCCTTTTCTTGGGTAGTTAAATTTTAGGTTAATGTTATCCTTTCAAAAAATTTGTGATTTATTTCTCACATTACATGTTAAAATACAGTAGTTTTACTGTTAATATTTGAACACATTATTTTAGGGGGCACTTCAAAATTTAGGTAGATTTGTACCCAGAGTGTAAGACAACTAATCCGATTCTCTCTTTTCTAGGACTACTTCTCTTTTAGCAGATGCTGTGGTCTCCCTGAATTCTGAGTTATGATACTTCATGCCAGTTAGACTAATTTTTTGTTGTTGTTCTAGATAATACTTGAAACATTGATTTGGGCTTGCTGTCAGATAAAAATCCCAGTGCTGTTTTTCCCTTCCAAGTATTGAATCCCCTTTATAATTTGCCCAATTGAGTTACTCTCCAATGCTTTAAATCACTTTTTAAATATTTTATAATTATCATATACAAGTTACTCTGTCATTAATAGAAGTATAACTCCATAAAATATTCGTTAGTATTAAAATATATATATTTATCTTCCAAAGTCTAATTTTCAAAACACAATCATTTATGGGCTCTTCACAATTGTTTTCATATCCATCAAATATGCCTGTATAATTAGCCACTAGCTATTTTTTCTTTATTAATTTCCTTAAATAATTATTTTAAAAGAAAATATTATGTCATTGCTAAAATTTAAATTCAGTCATATTACATAGTTATTTCATATTTTAATATTCACCAAAACAATATAGTATAGCATATTCTTTTTTATTTTATTTTTCTTAATTTTAACTGACAAATAGTTATTGTAATGTACCATATTCTTTAAGGGCATAAAGTTCAAAGCTAAATAATTTAAGTTTGAATATCTTCTCTCCCAATTACTAAATCTTTAACTTTGAATAAGTTTTCTTTTTGTAGTAGTAGTAGATATCTAGTCTATAAAATAGAGATACTATGGCATCTTTTTTCATCAGCATATTTTAGAATAAAATTAATTGGGTTCTCCAAGAAGTTAATGCCAAAAAGGTATTATATGTGCAAGAAAAAAATGGAGAGAGAGCCAAAAATCCTAGGAATGTTGTCAGACTTCAATGTAAGTCTAAGATTTTTGAAGGAGAGAAGAAAGGTGGAACATATTGGTAGGAAATATTTTAGACTATTGGTACTAAGAATGTTTTCGCAATGTAAACGGGGAGTGCTAAAGCCCAGTTCACTCATTAGAGGTGTCCTGCATCTCTCTAGACCTACTTTACTATTCTTGCCACCATCAGTCATTGCCTGGGAGAAGCCTGTAGAAGTGAAGCTTTTCATATTTGTGATAATTAATTATGGAATGCAATATCTGAGATCATTAGTTAATTACACTCCTCACAATCAGAGATCTGAGGTTACATTTTCTTTGTTACAAAATATGTAAAACATTTAGAACACTTCTGCCAAATAAAATGAATGCATTAGTTGTTTCCTATAATTAATGTTATTAATATTCAAAACTAGTAAAATCAATGCTTGTCCTGTATAACCTATTTTAAACTTGAGTTTCCACATTTTGGGAGACTCTACTCCAAATCAGTAATCTTCAAATAAATCACTCAGATTGATTGTTAATAATATGCTAATAATGTCTCTGCTACACAGTCTCAGAGATTCCAATTCTGTGGTTCTAAAGTGAGGCTCAGAAGTCTTCATTTTTACTAAACATTCTGAAAGACATCTCTATCAGTAGCATATATGCATCTAAAAATAACAGATTTTTATTTTGGAGATTTAAATTTATTTTTGAAGATGACCAGAGTACCTTTTGAGTGATAAAGTTTATATGCAAAATGATACTATCATGTGGAATGGGAAACCTAGGTTCTTCTCTCTTTTGTAACAGAGGGATGTCTCAGCATTTACAGCATATGGAAAACTTATTTAATTACTCATATTTACAGTGTAGAAGAGGCAGTCCAATCAGAGATAGCCCCAAGTCATTTAACCCAAGGCATGTCAGCCAAGAAAGTCACACACAAAAATTTCCAAATACGTTGAATTTACTTGGGAATTACAAACGATAATTATAACCTAAAATGTATAACTATTGCAAGCCATATATCCATTTTCTCTGAATTTAAGAACAAAATTATCATGGGATTGTTTTAGAAAGTCCTTGAGACAGTCTTTATCTTAGGCATATATGTGTGAGCCCTCTTGCCTCATGTTCTCCCGGGTCTAATTTGTTTGGATCTCTCAAAAAGTGATTTCACCGATTCAGAATTGCAACATTTAGAATTGAGAGTTACTTTGCGTTGAAACAAAGAGGAGGCAGGGAGTGCAAATGGAATGTTGATAATCTCAGTGGGTTTTCATAATTAGGCTCCCACTGAAAAATCTTCTGAATGTAAGAGAGGATCAGGCCTTTGGTAAGTTAGGGAGAGGTGCTAAAGAAAGAGATGTATGAGAAAGGTGGGGGGGCAATTTCAAATTCTTTATAGCCTCTGTGCAGCATTTGCATATTGTCTTTTGCCAGACTTTTATCTCATAAATGTATAGACTTGTATTTTTCTTCTGACTTCTGGCATTCTGACATTGCTTAAGGTGTTGGAGCTAAAGACTTTAACAAGAAGTACATGATCTTTGTCAAGTGCTTAAGAAACTCTCATTGAAATAATTAAAATAGTCTAGCCAAGTTTTGAACATACTTTTCAAATAGTTTTGAGCTTTAAATGATTAACACTGATTGTCAATTTTCACATGTGATCCTCATTTCTACTACTACTGAGCAAATTCCCAATATTAAATTTTAGACTATTACATTTAAAATTTGTCATGCTATAAAAAAATGAATAATTATATTAACATACATGGGTTGTATGTGTGTGTGTTTGTGTGTGTGTGTATTAGTCAAAATCAATTTAAAACCTACGTTTTCTTCTCTTCATATAAATGTATTGATTTCTCAACACTTAGTTTAAATAAAACTGAAATAAATTGTAAATGTTATGCTAAATTTTCTTGTTTAATAATAGTACATAAAATTGTTTCAGTAAAGATAAAACTATGTAAATGTTTCAGTGTACATCAAAGCATAGTCTACTTGCAAAATTTGTTTTTATAACTATTGTTCTATTAACCGTATTTACTCTCAGTTGCTTACACTAAAAGTAAAAGTTTTTTAGGTTGTTAGTGAAATGTTTTAAAGACAAATTATACTAGTCCATTAAAAATGTATTCTACCTTAAATCAGTGCTGACTATCAAAGAAAGTATGTCTTCCTGTGGTCCTACACCTAGTTTAGTTGCTATATGGATGAGAAAGAATATAGTCAACTCACCAGTTGACTGAAAGACTTTTTTTTCATGTTGGTTGCAAATTTTTGTCAAGCATATAGACATTTCTTAACCCACATGGAGACAAGAGTACAAGACATATTTCCAACATTTTGTGGCATTTACTTTTTTTCACATGTTTTCTTCATAAGTAAACAGACTGTCTATTAGGTAAAAGTGGTCACAAATAAATTCTCTGGAAACAAGTAGAACAGATGATGTTAGTGACATAGCCAATTAGATTTGCAATGTATCTTATCCATGGTGACATACAGTGATGTGATGCTACTCCGTAGTATTCACGCTCCACTAAAATATTGACTGCCACGTTATAGCAGTTTATAGGACAGTATATTGTAAAAGGCAAATGATTTCTTTAGATTACAAATAATCAAGAAATTTCAAATATAGTTATTGTCATGATTATCATTTCATTGTGTTGCCTTTCAACCCTTAGTTATTAATGTTAGTATCTTCACCTCTAAGTGTTGGCAAAAGCTCCAAATAATTTTCCTTATTGTCCTCTTAAAATTTTTAATAATTTAAAAATTGAAATAAATCTCCAAATTTATATAAATGCCAAATTATTTACATAGGTGTAAGCCTACTCTCTTTTCAGAGTATTTAGTAAAGAAATGTACATAGAAATGGTGCATTCTAAAGACTAAACTCTAAAACTAGTTGGAGTCTAGCCCACATTTTAAAAAATATAGATAAATAGAATCATAATAATAGAAAATAAAGATTCATATTAACAATTTCGTTCTATCCAGAGAAAGAAATATTATTTTTTACAGATGGATCACTATTTATATTGACAAATATGATTTATTATTCCGTTGTTGATCTGCAGACTGTAAATTTTTGAACTTCTTATAAGAATATTATATAAACTCTTTACTCCTATATTTAAACAACTTACATATCAGATCTTGCAGTGCTATAAAGCAATACCTGAGACTGGGTAATTTACACAGAAAAGAGGATTAATTGGCTATGGTTCTGCAGGCTGTACAGGAAGCATACTGGCTTCTGCTGCACTTCTTGGGAGGCCTAAGGAAACTTACAATCATGGCAGGAAGTGAAACTGGCACATCACATGGCTAGAGCAGCAGGAAGAGGATGGAGTGAGGTGCCATAATCTGTTAAACAATGAGACCTTCTGAGAACTCTTATCATGAGAACAGCACTGGGAGGGTGGTGCTAAACCATCCATTAGACACTGTCCCTATAATCCAATCACCTCCACCAGGCCTCACCTCCCACACTAGGGATTACATTTCAGCATGGGATTTGTGTGGGAACACAGATCCAAACCATATCAAGTTACAAGGATTTTCATAATGATACTTGAATTGCCAATCCATTGTTAGTTGGAAGAATCATTAAGGACCACTAAATTTTAAAAAAAGCAAAGAAACAAATAAACAAAGCTAGCTAATACCCAACCACAAGCCATACAGAGTTGTTTATATAACTAGACCCCATTTTTCTCTCCTGTTAGATTTGCAAACATAAGAAAGTTTAATTTCACATTGTTTTGGCAAAAATATTAGAAAAATGAAAGCATTCATGTATATTTGGTGATAGTATAGACTGATCCAACTTCTAAGCATACTATAGCTATACTTAAGCAAACTATATAAGCACGTATCTTTCAATGAAGCCATCTTATTTCTAAAAATTTGTATTCCAGACACACTTGATGTAAGCATAAAATAAATTACACAAGGTCATTTGCTGAAGCATTTTTAAGAGAAAAATATTAAACAAAAATATAGCTAAATAAATTGTGGAATAGCCATGAGATAGAATATTATGCAGACATCTAAAATAATAAGGAAATTCTTCATATATTAATGGAATATAAACATAAAACATTTAAATAAAAATGTTAAGATATAAAGAGTATTTATATTGTGCTACTAGTGTTAAATATGGTACAAATTTTGTACACATATGCATGTGTGAGTACTATTTTAAACAATTTTGATATTTGAATCTACTCTTGTGATTATAAAAAGAACTAATGATATTTCTGGGAGAAGAAGGTTGCTTTATATATGCCTGAAAATGAAACTCTACACTTTTTACCCAGTTTGTCTCTAAATATTGTTAGTTCAAATAATCTCTTTTGCAAGTTGCCCAATTTTCCCCAGTAATAGCATTTTACAAAATCATAGTGTAATATCAAAAAGAGGATATTGACATTGATACACTATATTTTCCTTATTTAAAATTTCCAGTTTTACTTGTACTTATGCAATTATGTGTGTGTATGTGCATGTGTGTGTGTATGTGTATGCTCTGTACAATCTTATAACTTGAGTAAGTTCATGCGTGTACCACCACAGTCAAGATAGTGAAAAGTTCAAGCACCACAAGGATACCTCTTGCTGTTGTTTTATAACCATCCTCACTTTGCTCTAGGCCTTCATCTCTAACTCCTGGCAAGCGACTAATCTCTTCTTTATTTCTCAAATATTGGTATTTCAAAAGTACCGCAAAAATGGACCTATATAGTGTATGTTTTTTGAAGTTGACTTCTCTCATTCAGCATGAATGAATGTTAATGAATGCAGGGACTCAAATAAATACCTGGAAATTCATCCAAGTTTTTTCAGGTATCAATTGTTTATTCCCTCTTTACAAACTGAATAATGTCCCATGGTATATATGTATCAGAGTTCATTAATTTTTCATCTTTGAGAAATATTTTACCTTTCTCCAGTTTTGGGCTATTACAAGTAATGCTGATTTGTACATTCACATGCCGATTTTTGGGTGAATTTAAGTTTTAATATATTTGTGATAAATACCCTGAAGTGCAATTGTTGTCACGGGGATATTGCACCTTTACCCTCGTAAGAAACTGCCAAACTGTTTTCATAGAGGCTACATCATTGTATATTTCCACCAGCAATGTCTGAATGACTCAGTTTCTTCACAACCTTGTAGAGTTTTGTTCTGTCATGATATATCTTTTAATTTAACCATTCTGTTTAGTGGCATCAAATTGTGTTTAATTTACATTTTTTAATGGTTAATTATTTTAAACATGTTTTCATAAGTTAATTTGCAACCTGTATATATAGTCTTTGGTGAAATATCTGTTTGTATCTTCTGTCAATTTTCTAATTAAATTTTACCTTGTTGTTGAGTTTTGAGAGTTCTTGTATATTCTAAATACTAGTCTTGTGTCAGTATGTGGATCAAAAATGTATTCTCTAAGTCTGTAACTTGTCTTCTTAATCCTATTTCCATGAATTTTCAAAGAACTATTTTTAACTCTGGAAAGATCTGTGTATGAGTTCATTCTGGCACTGCTATAGAAAAATATCTAAGAATTTATAAAGAAAAGAGATTTAATTGGCTCACGTTTCTGCAGGCTGTACAGGCAGCATGGCTGGCGAGGTCTCAGAAAAATTTCAATCGTGACAGAAAGTGAAGGGGAGGCAGGCAGGTCTTCCATGGCCGAAGCAGGAGGAAGAGAGAGAAAAGTGGAGGTGCTACACGCATTTAAATAACCAGATCTCATGAGCACTCACTCACTATCATGAGAAGAGCATGGGAGAAATCTGCCCCCATGATTCAATCACCTCCCACCAGGCCCCTGTTTCAACATTAGGGATTACAACTTGACATGATATTTGGGTGGGGACACAAATCCAAACCACATCAATCTGATTTATCAATTTTTCCTTTAATAGATTGTGTTTTTGAAATTAAGTCTAAAAATTATTTGCCTAGCCTTATATCCTGATGTGTTCCTCATTTTTTCACCAAAAGTTTAATCATTTTTATTTGTTTCTTTGTTTGTTTAATTTAAGGCCATGGTCAATTTTGAGATAATTTTTATATAAGGTGTGACCTCTGCATCAATTTGGGATGAATTAGTGTATTTAATGTGCTGATGATTCCAATCTATGAAAATGGTAGATCTCTGCATTTATTTTGTTTTCTGATCTTTTAATATGCATTTTATAAATTTCATGTTTTTTTAAGTATATAAATGAGTCACATTTTATTTTGTTATTGCAACCAATGTTTGTTTAAAATTTAATTTCCTTAAATGTTAGTTAACTGTGATTGATTTTTGTGGATTTATCTTGTATCCTAAGACTTTGCTGATCTTACTTAGGTCTAGGAGCTATTTTTTAACCTAAATTTTATATAGTTTTCTATATAGACAATCCATAACATCTATAAATAAAGATAACGATATGTCTGCCTTTCTAATGAATAGGCTATTTTTTTTTTTCTTCTTGCCTCATTGAAGTGGCTAAAATTCTCAATACTGTTGAATAAGAGTAGCTGAATAAGAAACAGGCCAACTTTGCGCGGAGGAAAACATTCAGCTCTTTACTCCTAAATATGATGTAGGCTTGAGGATTTTTATAGATGTTCTGTATCAGTTTATGGTAATTCTCTATTTCTAGATTGCTGAGGTTGGGGTGGGTTACATATTATTTAATAGTTTAAAAATATTACAGTATTTATTTTAACATTTTATAGAAAATAATATTTATATGATATTACTTGAAGATTATATGATTTTAGAAGATATAAACCACTTTATATTGAGTAGCCTTGGAACTTTCCTTTATTTAACTTAATTCAAATTTATTATATTTACGACTATTTTTAATTATAAATTGACAAATTATACTTGTAGATATTTATGAAGTAAAAGTGGTGTTATGATGTACGAATACAATATGAGATAATTAAATCAAGCTAATTAACATATTGATCACTTCAAATACTTATTGTTCTGTTGTGAGAACATTTAAAATTTAGTCTCTTACAGATTTCAAGATGTACATTACTTAAATCTAAGACCTGAAACCATAAAAATTCTAGAAGACAACATCAGTAAAACTCTTCTAGATGTTGGCTTAGGCAAAGAGTTCATGACCAAAGACTCAAAAGCAAATGCAATAAAACAAAAATAAATAGATGAGACCTAATTAAACTAAAAAGCTTCTGTGCAGTAAAACAACCATCAGAGTAGACAGACAACCCACAGAATGGGAGAGAATATTCACAAACTATGCATCTTAGCAAAAACTTATATCCAGAATCTGCTAGGAATTCAGACAAATCAGAAAAAAAAACAATAATCCCATCAAAAAGTCGGCTAAGTATAGACAATTCTCAGAAGAAGATATACAAGTGGCTAACAAACATATAAAAAAATGCTCAACATCATTAATTATTGGGAATATGCCAACTAAAGCCACAATGAGATACCACCTTACTCCTGCAAGAGTGAGCATAATTAAAAAATCAAAAAAATAATGGATGTTGTCATGGACGTGGTGAAAAGAGAACACTTTTACACTGCTGGTGGGAATGTGAACTAGTACAATCACTATAGTAATCAATATGGAGATTCCTTAAAGAACTAAAAGTAGAATTTTTGATCCAGCAATCCCATTAATAAGTATCTACTCAGAGGAAAATAAGTCATTATATGAAAAAGATACATGCAGACACATATTTATAGCAGCACAATTCGCAATTGCAAAAATATGGAACCAGCCTAAATGCTCATCAACTAACAAGTAGATAAAGAAAATGTGGTATATATACACGAAGGAATACTGCTGAGTCATAAAATGTAACAAAATAATGGCATTTATGCAACCTAGATGGAGTTGGAGACCAATATTCTCAGTAAAGTAACAGAAATAAAAACCCAAATACCATATTTTCTCACTTATACATGGGAGCTAAGCTAATAGGACACAAAGGCTCATTGCAGTTTTGATTTGCATTTCTCTAATTATTGATAATGTTGAGCACTTCTTTATATATCTGTTGGCCATTTGTATGACTTCTTTTAATACATTTCTATTCAGGTTCCTTGCCCATTTTTTAATTGAAGAGTTTTTTCTTGCTTAGAGTTGTTTGAGTTTCTTACATAGTTTTGATATTAACAGATGTATGACATAGAAATATTTTATGCCAATTCATAGCTTGTCTCTTCCCTCTGCCAATAATTTTCTTTGATGTTTAGAAGCTTTTTACATTGATGTAATCTCATTTGTCAATTTTTAATTTTGTTTCCTACATGTGAGGAGTCAAATTTTTTAAAAAATCATCACTCAGACCAGTGTCTTATAGTTTCTCCTCTTCTATTTTCTTCCAGCGGTCTCTTACAGATTCAGATCCTGTGTTTAAGCATTTAATCAGTTTTTAGTTTACTTTTTATAAATATTGTGAGATAGGGCCCAATTTCATTCTTCTGTTGAGGGGTACCTAGTTTTTCCAGTACCATTTGTTAAAGAAACTCTCCTTTGCCCAATGTGTGTAACTCAGCATCTTTGTGGAAAATCAGTTATTCTCTTTATTTTTTTAGTCAGTCTAGCTCAAGGTGTGTCCATTTTGTTTATGTTTTCAGCAAGCAATTCTTACTTTCTTTGATATTTTGTATTATTTATAGTCTCTATTTCATTCATTGCTACCCTGATTTCTATCATTTTGTTTCTTCTGCTGTTATTGGGCTTAGAGGTTTATTGCTCTAAAATTTCCTCTTAGAATTGTTTTTGTGGCATCCCACAAGTTTCGGTATGTTGCGTTTCTACTTTTTTTGTTGTTGAAAGATGTATTTTTACTTTCTTTCTCTTTTAATTTATTCATTAATCCATTGGATGTTCAGAGACATGCTTAATTTCCACATACGTTTGAATTTTCCAAACTTTCTTTTGTCATTGATCTTTAGATTCATACCATTGTGGTCAGAAAAAAAAAAAACTTGATATAATGTCAGTCTTCTTGGATTTTATAAGCTGTGTTTTATAGCCTAACATTGATCTATTCTGGAGAATTTTCTGGATGTGCTTGAGAATAATTTGTATTCATTTGCCATTGAATGAAATTGTTTGTTTGTGATCTAAGGTGTTTTTCAAATCCAATATTTCTTTATTAATTTTCGGTCTAGATAATCTGTCCACTGCTAAAAGTGAGGCACTAAAGTTCCTATTCTTGTATTGCATCATTCTTTTCAGATTCTTTAATATTTATTTTATATATTTAGGTGCTCCATTTGTGGACCCATATATTTACAATTATTATATTCACTTCATAAATTTACCCTTTTATGACTATATAATGTCCTTCTTTGTCTCTTTTTACATTTTTATAGTTTTTGACCTAAAATCTATTTAGTCTGATATACATATAGGTACCTTGGCTTTTTTCCATTTCTATTTGCATGAAGCATCTTTTACTATCTCTTCATTTATATTTGCTTTTAAAGGTGAGATGAGGCTCTTATAGGCAGCATACCATTGAGTATTTTTTTTGTAATCCATGCATTCACTCAGTCTTTTCTATGGATAATTTAATCCGTTTTCATTTACAGGAATTATTGTACAGTCTTTTCTATGAATAATTTAATCCATTTTATTTACAGGAATTATTTCATTTACAGGACCTACTACTGTCATCTTGTTTATTGTTTTCTGGGTTTGGTTTGTTTGTTTTGCTTTGGTTTTTAGATTATTGTTATGTTTTTTTCTATCTTACTGCCTTCCTTTGTGGTCTGATGGTTTTCTGTAGTGGTATGTTTGAATCCTTTCTATTTTTGTTTAGTGTATCTATTATAGATTTTTCCTTTGTGATTATTATAAAACATATGTAAGTCTTATACTTATTACAGTCTATTTCAGGTGATAACAACTTAATTTTGTATACAACTCCAGACTTTTATTCTACCCTCCACAACATGTGTTTGATGTCAGAATTTACATTATTTTGTAATATGTGTCTCGATAATTTATTTTAGCTATAGTTATCTTCTAATCCTCAAAGTAGGGATAGAATTCCTTTACACAAACAGCCCTAACTTATTTATACCTCTGTATTACCTATAAGTTTAAATTTTATGCATTTGTATTTTTTACGTTATTAATTAGCTATCTTTTGTTTCAGCTTAATGAACTCCCTTTAGTAACTGCTGTAAGGCAGACCTAGGAATGATGAACTTGCTTATCTTCTGTTTCTTTGGGAAAGTTTTTCTTTCTCATTTCAGAAGACAACTTTGCTAGTTAAAGTATTTGGCAGTTCGTTTTTGTTTTTCTCTTCAGCACTTTAAACATGTCATTCTGCTTTCTTCTAAACAGCAATATTTCTGCTAAAAAATGCGCTGATAGTCATATTGAAACCTCTTCTTATGTGATATGTTTCTTAACTTTATTTGCTTTATAAATATTTTCTTTGTCTTAGATTTTTCGATAATTCAATTATTATGTGGCTTGGTGAATTCCTCTCTGGGTTGATTTTGACTGGACACCTTTACATTTCCTTTACTTAGATATTGGCATATTCTCTCAAATTAGGAAAGTTTTCAGCCACTATTTCTTTAAATATTCTGTCTGGCTACTTTCATTTTACTCTTTCTTAAATTCCTATTATATGTAGGTTGTGTTTATTAATACTGTTCCATAATTTCCTTAGACTTTTTAATTCTTCTTTTTGTCCTCAGATTAAATAATTCCAAATATTTTGCCTTTTGATTTATTGATTCTTTCTTCAGCTTAATTGAGCTTACTGTTGAAGCTTTCTATTACATTTTTAAGTTCCATCATTTTATTATTTATCTCTAGGATTTCTATTTGGTTTTTAAAGTTGTTTCTATTTCTTTGTCAAACATCTATTTTTGTTGTATCTTTTTAATATATTTTTTGTAGTTCACTGAACTCCTTTGAGAGGATTATTCTGAATTCTTTGTCATTTTGTAGATATTCCATAGTTAGAGCCCATTATTAAGCTTTGATAGTTCCTTTTTGAGGTCTCATTATTTTCTGAATCATGAGTTGATGTAAAATTTTTGTCAACTGTGTTTTCTGCATCAATTGATATGCTCAAATAATTTGTCTTATCTAGCCTGTTGATATGGTTGATGGCATTCATTAGTTTTCGAATGGTGAATTAGATTTAAATTCATGACTAAAACACCAAAAGCAAAGGCAACAAAAGCGAAAATTGACAAATGAGACCTAATTAAACTAAAGAGCTTCTGCACAGCAAAATAAATTATCATCAGAGTGAACAAGCAACCTACAGAATCGGAGAAGTTTTTTGCAATCTATCCATCTGAAAAAGAGCTAATATCCATATTCCACAAGGAACTTAAACAAATTTATAAGAAAAAAAATCAAAAAGTGGGCAAAGGATATGAACAGACACTTCTCAAAAGAAGAAATCTATGTGGCCAACAAAATATGAAAAAAGCTCATCATCAGTAGTCATTAGAGAAATGCAAATCAAAACCACAATGAGCTACCATCTCATGCCAGTTAGAATGGTAATCATTAAAAAGTCAGGAAACAACAGATGCTGGAGAGGATGTGGAGAAATAAGAACACTTTCACACTGTTGGTGGGAGTGTAAATTAGTTCAACCATTGTGGAAGACAGTGTGGCAATTCCTGAAGTATCTAGAATTAGAATTACCATTTGACCCAGCAATCCCATTACTAGGGATATACCCAAAGGATTATAAGTCATTCTCTTATAAAGACACATGCACACATATGTTTATTGCAGCACTATTCACAATAGCAGACTTGGAGCCAACCAAAATGCCCATCAATGATAGACTGGATAAAGAAAATGTGACACATGTACACCACAGAATACTATGCAGCCATAAAAAAGGATGAGTTCATGTCCTTTTATCCTTTGCAGGGACATGGATGAAGCTGGAAACCATCACTCAGCAAACTAACACAGGAACAGAAAACCAAACACTGCATGTTCTCACTCATAAGTAGGAGTTGAACAATGAGAATACATGGACACAGGGAGGGGAACATCACACACCGGGACCTGTCGGGGGGTGCGGGGCTAGGGGAGAGATAGCATTAGGAGAAATACCTAACGTAGATGATGGGTTGATGGATGCAGCAAAACACCATGGCACGTGAATACTGTGTAACAAACCTGCCCATTCTGCACGTGTATCCCAGAACTTAAAGTATAATAAAAAATAAATTCCTGTAAAAATTTTAATTTGGTAACAGTGTAAAATTCTTTTTATACATTTTATTATTAGATTTACTCATTTTTAGAAAATGTTGCATCTAAATTTATGAGAGATATTGAACTGTCATTTTCTTTTCTGTTCTGTATTTTTTTTTTTTGGTGTCAGGGTAACATGGATTTTGTAAAATGAAGTAAGAAGTGTTTCCTCTTTTTCTATTTTTCTAGAATAGATTATATAAAATTGATATTAATTATTCTTTAAATATTTGGTAGAATTCTCTGTAACTTCTTCTGGGTCTAGAAATATTTTTCTTAAGTTGTCAATTCAATTTTGTTATAGATATAAGACTATTCAGGTTGTCTATTTTATCTTGATTTTCTTTGGTAGTTTGTAATTTTCTAAGACTCTATTAGATATTCTCTAAGAATGATAACTTCTGAGTTGCCAAATGAATAAAAAGTTGTTCATAGCATTAATGTGTTTCTTTTTGATGGCTTCAAGATTTGTAGCATTATCGCTTATTTCAATCTTGATATTGGTGATTGGTATTTTGTCTTTCTCTCTTTTCTTGTTTATTGCCTGCCTTACTAGAGTTTTATTAAGTTTATCGATACTCTTTCAAAGTTTCAGCTCTTAGCTTTAATAATTTTCTGTTTTTTTTTATTTTCAGTTCATTGATTTATGTTCCTATTACTGTTATTTGATTCCTTCTGCCTGCTTTGTATTTTTTACTCTTACTTTTTAGTTCATTGAGGTACGATCTTCAGTTACTCATTTGAGATCTTTTCTTAATTATAATGTAAGCATTTACTACTACTAATTTTGCTCTTGTTATCACACTACCTGCATCAAAATATTTGAACATCTTTTAAATCACTCCATTATATGTACACTTTATTTCTTTTTTATTGCTCCCTCTTTTACCAATAAATGGCTGAAAAATGTTTTGTTTCATTTATACTTGTTTAGAAGTTTTTGTTGTTGTACTTCTGTTATTGATTTCTAGCTTTAATCCATTATGGTCAGAGAAAACACTGTATTATTTCAATTTTGAAAACTTCTTAAGGTTTTCTTTATGGCCCAAGATATGGTCTTAGTAAATATTCCATAGGGAAAACATATATTTTGCTGTTGTGGGGTTAGGTATTTTTAAAATATGAATTATATGCAGTTAGTTGATGTTCAGTTCTTCTGTAAACATGCTGATATTTTGTTTAGTAGTTCTACCACTTGATGTAAAACTCCACAACTATGATTGTGGATGTGCCCTGTTCTTCTTTCAGTTGTATCAGTTTGCACTTCATGTAATCGGAGACACTGCTATTTGGTACATGTACATTTAGGATTATTATGACTTTGTAGGCTTTCTGTTAACATTATGTAGTATCTCTTTTGGTCTGTAGCAATTTTCTATGATCTGAAACCTATTTTAGCTAATATTATGATAACCACTTCTTCTTTTTGAAGTTAATATTTGCATAGTATATCTTTTTTCATCCTATTATTTGTAATCTACTTTTGTCACTAAATTTTAAATTATTTTCAGCACTATGTAGTTGGCCGAGTTTTTTATCCACTATTTCAACCTCTACCTTTTGATTTGGGAATTTATGGAATTTATATTTAAAATAATTATTGATATGTTAGTGTTTAACCCTGTTACTTTGTTTTTCAATTGTTTTACTGGTTGTCACTTACCTGTTTCTTTTTTCTTACAGGTTCCTTCAATATGTTTTAGAATTTCATCTTTATTTTTATATATTATCTTTATATATATATAAATTTTTATATAATCCACATAAATTATATATTTATATATGCGTATGTTATATATAAATTTATATTATATTAAGTTTGACCATATACTAGTCCATAAATATAATAATTATATATAAAATATGTGTAATTATATATTATGTATAAATTATCTATAAATAATATATTTATTACATGTACATATTATATATTATATATAATTACATTTTTATATATTCATATATATATATATAAGGTTCGTGCAAAGTAATTGTGGTTTTTGCCATTACTTTCAAAGGCAAAAACTGCAATTACTTTTTCACCAATCTTAATTATATATTGTTTATATATTATAATATAAATCAATTTATATATAAATACATAAACTTATATATTAAATATATATCATAATATGTATATAATATATATTCTATATAAATATATGACCATATATATTTATACTAACTTTGGAGTATGTGCCTGTAACAATAGCTGAGTTATATATATATATAGAGAGAGAGAGAGGTAAGATGTCACTTCCCTCTGACCTCCATTGTCATAGATGAGAAAGTCACTATCATTTGAAGTGGAGTTTCCTCATATTTAATGCATTATTTCTCTCTGGCTGATTTCAAAATTTTCTTGTCTTTACTTTTCTTGTCAATACTATACAATTTATTAGCGTGGATTTCCTTGGGTTTGAGACTCTCTCTCAGCTTCTTGGATGAATATGTTTGTATATTTCACCAAAGTTGGAGAGTTTTAAGCATTTTTATCTCCTCTTTTATTCTTACTTTTTTTCTTCTCTCATTCTTAGATTCTGATAATATGAATGTTGGAACCTTTGTTATTGTCCCTCAGATCTGAGTTCTCTTTCCTTTTTAGTCTACCTTTTCTCTTTTTCTCAGATTGACTGAACTTTATTGTTTACTACTAAAGTTCACTGATTTTGTTTTTTGTTATCTCAATTGTACTATCTCCATTTACTGCAGTCAGTGAGTTTTGATTTCTATTTTTTATATTTTTTCAGTTGTATAATTATTTGGTTCTTTATTATAATTTCTGTTTCTCTGCTGAAATGTTATATTTTTAAAAATTGTTTCAAGAGTATTTACAATCACTTGCTGAAGTAACTTTATAAAAGTTGTATTAAAATCCTTCTCAGATAATTTTAATTTCTGATTCATTTCAGCATTGGAATCAGTTCTTGATATGCTGGATGGTTTCCCATTGTATCCTTAGATATTTAATTTATTATGCTAGCAAATTCTTTTCCTGTTTATATCATTTAACATAGTAGATAATCACCCTGCTTATATTTAGCACTGGATCTTGGCCTATTTTTTTTTATTTTTGGCTGTTTAATTTCCAGTCTTTTCATTGTTGTTTTGTTATTTAAAAAATAAAAACTTCAGCTCAATTAAATTTAAAGGAATTTAATTTAGCAATAATCTGTTCATGAATTAGGCAGCCCCCAGAATCACAGCAGATTCAAAGAGACTCCAGTGCAGCCACATGGTGGTAGAAGATTTATAGACAAAAAAGGGAAATGATGTACAGAAATCAGAAGTGAGGTACAGAACAGCTGGATTGGTTTCAGGTTGGCATTTGCTTTATTTGAATAGAGTTTGAACACTTAGCAGTGTAAGAATGGTGGAAGAACGGCCACTGGGATTGGAGAAGACTCAGCTATTGTTACAGGCACATACTCCAAAGTTAGATTTTCAATTTTGTCTACCTATGAAGTTAGGTTGCAGTTTGTCCACAATGACTCAAATAAAGAAGTATGGAGTCCTTCTCAGGCCTTCTAGTTTGCTTTACCAATTCCCCCCTTTTGGTCATTTTCTCCATTTTTGAGAGAGATTTACCAAAACTTTAGTCATTGATGTCACTATCACCATAGTAGATGTACTTATTTGGTAGTGAAACCCACTGGGAATCAGTAGAACAATGAGTTTTGTAAAGGTAGGAACAAACACTGAGTAGAGGGAACTTCCCCTTATGCTAGAATGCCCTGTTTACAGGAGAGAAACAAAACCTGGTCTGTTCTGGTCTAAGATCTATGTGTTTCCTTAAAGTCTCAGTTTCATTATGTTACTTTTAGCATGAGTGACTCCAGTTTTGTTTGGTTTGGTCTGTTGAGGTGTAGTGCATGAGCTGAATCCAAAACAATGGTCTCCCATAATTTTGTTTTAAAAAGTTCCTCCCTGTTTGGTCAGGTGCTCACTTAGGTGAGAGTGTGACCAAAACTTAGGGCCTTAGTGCCATTCTCTGTTACCATCATTTTGTGTCTGCTCTCAGCATGTCATTTATAGGTTACAGTGTCCTCATGGTCCCACATTTCTTTTAGCTCTTGTCATTCCAGTTGAAGAGAGACCATTTGATGTTCCAGAGATGGCTGCATGCAAACATTTAAAACCTTTGAGAGAATACAACACACCAAGGAGACTATTATTTTGACTATTGGAGGATAAAACCGAGAGCTTGGAATATGCTCCTTAACCAGGATCCCCATAAACCAAGCCATGTAAACTCAAATAGATCAAAGAATGAGCTAGATAAGGAGTTTATTCTCTTAACTAAGTGGTCTTTTTGTTAATCCCCTTCAATTGAATCTCTATAGTACCCAAAGTTTTTTCCACAGGATATAGGTGCCAGCAGCTGCACAGATACTTCTCTGTCTAGCCACTTTTACTATTTAGCATAACATTTAAAAGAGAATTTAAAGTCTGTTTTGTAACCATAGCCTTTACAGTAGAATCTTCTATATAGCCATTATGAGGGATACATTTCTAATAATTGCCTCTTTTATTCCAAACCATGGAAAAAGAACCCAACAAATGATGCCCTTCCAGAAGAGTGAAGGACTCTGGCAATGTTCCCTTTAGTCCATGATGTGGGTTGAGAGGAGTGTATCAATGTTCTGTTTCTGACTGATTAGGAGGCAACATATTACCATTAAAGTTTCTCACTTACATTGGGACTTCATCTTTTATATATCAAAGTATAGGATTATCCATGTATAAGTATGGCTGCAAAATCCTTCACAAACAAGTATACTCTATAAGTGCATACAACAGACCCCTTTTCCACTTCTATTTTTTATAGAACCATAAGCAAGATAAAAATACTCAAAGATACGAGTCTCATAATAGTAGAGAAATCTTGATCCATGATTTTGGGAAAAGCTATTCACATCAAGAATACCATCTTCTTCTGGGGAGAAACTTCCCTAGTTATCTTTACTTTAAGGGTTCCAACGGGTGTACAGTTTCAAGAGTGCGAAGGGACCCTTATCAGTTGTGAGATTATAAACCCAAAATTTAAGGTTCCATAGTTTTGTTGCAGTGTGTATGGCAAGGGCAGTTTCTCTCTGATGTTTTTAGAAGATCCAGTCTTCACGTTTTAGATTGTGAAGGGGATGATTGTCCTTAGTGAGCCATAAAAACCTTTCTTAACCAGATGAAAATCACTGTGGCACAATAACTTAGTGACATAACATCAGCCCTCTGGCATGGGAAAGCTTTTATACAACCAAAAAACATGCATTGAAAATGACAATTGAATGAAATCCCTTTATAAATGTTTAAATTACCTAACAGGTAGCCAAATGTACCTGAAGCTTTGATTGTATTCCCAGTAATATGGAACCAAACATTGGTTATAATCTATTTTCACAATTTTTAAGTCACACCACATCAATATATTTAATCAGGATCATTTTATCTTTTCTATGATGAGTCATGGAATGCAAAACTTTTAATAATAAAAGCTTTGAGGATTCAGGATGGACAAGGTGGCTGTCCTGGTTCTCCATGAGTCTATGCTTAACATTGCATTTATGTCCCTTAAATACCAGTTGTTTCTCCAAATTAGGTGCGTAGCACAGTTAACTGATGGGTTATCATAGGTTATTTGACTTAGACTATGGATTTCATTCAAATTGAGTATCTAAACAATTTCAGCATTGGCTGATTTAGCATGAAAATATGGCAAAGTGTTTCCTTGGTATTCAATTAATTTTTGTTCTACTTGGGTTAGCAGTTTTATAACCCAGTAAGTCTTTTCATTAAAGTTCCAGGAATTTTTACCCAATTCAAGAGATATGATTCTAAAGTTATTAGAAACCTGTATTCAAGAATGCTTTTCAGGGTCCTTTCCATCCTTTCATGGACCTCCTAAAAGATACCACCATGCTTTTAAAGTTTTCATAAACTGCAATTAACTGTGGAAATGACTTTAAATATAGTTAAAAACACAATTAACCAGGAAATTTGGTTATTGCTATGGTCTACAATAACTTAACATAATAGCCATAATTGTGATTGATAGCATATACTCGGACCCCCATTAGAATTTTAGAAATCCCATAAAATTTAGGAACATATATTAATATAATTTACTAAAATATAACTTGAAAATTAAACATTATTTTTATTTTAACAATGCTTCCCTTGTACCTTAACATGTCAAATAATCTTGTTTACTCCTCTTTTGGATGTTTCAGGGGCCCTCTGTAGCATCCCAAAGTTAAAGGTCAGAAAAGACCATTTCAAAGCTGAAATTTGATTTTGAGAATCCTATAAAATGTGTTAAAGGTTTAAAACACTTAATATTATGAAATAGAATTCTAGGTTACCATAAGTCATTCATTTGGCCAACGTGATGACTCAAAAATGTTAAAAAAAAAAAAAAGGCAAAAAACTTCACTCATCAGTAGAGGGAAGACAGCCTTCTAAACAATGTATCTCTTGTTTTTCCCACCTTTTTCAGTAGTTCATTCAAAAGGCAAACAAAAACTTTCATTATCTTTTAATATTACATAAAAATATTTTTCAAGAGAGAAAGCCAAATTCATCCTTGCATTAGTCTACTATTTACATCAACCCCAATTTTTAATAAACCTTATAGACAAATCTATTCAATCTTAATCAGTTAGACCATAAGGTGAAATTCTCATAAACCTTTTATAAGTAAAAGAGCAGATTAGTGCTTTAAGAAAACCCTGTTGTGTTTTTATTCCAATGTTTAATTTAAGGAAAAACTGAATAATTCCTCTTTAAATTTAGCCAATGTGTTCACACACTGAATTTCTTTTACAAGATTAAATTTTTATAACCATTCCACACTAGTTTAAACCCTTAGCTTTATCTTATCTAATTTAAAACAATCCTTTAACCCTTTAAACTAGACAAAATGTACATTTCTGTGCTCTCTTATAATCTTTTACGAGAAACACATTTCACTCTCCTCACATACCTTACACATAAACCTACTTTTTTCAGTAGTCTCAATTACATGTTATAGTGGTAATTCTTAGCAACTTTCACTTTTGGCGCATAAATTTCCTTTCATAACTTACATAGATCATCTACAACATGCTTGGACTTCCTGACTTGTCCTAAACATCCCTCTTTTTAAACAATAAGTCATTTTACTTTAGGTCAAGAATTTACCATATAATATCCTTTCTTATAAAAAATCTTTTTTCTTTATAATGTTCTTTGCATAACTAGTGGCCATGGCTAATTCCACATGTCCCCAGGCCTTAAAAGTCAACTCAGTTTATGACCTTAAAGCATTTAGCAAACCAAGTATCTGACCTGCATCATTTAGACCAAATGTCTTTATTTTTGCCAATTATGTTTAAAATGTTTTATTTCCCAAAGTTTACTAAAATCATATGAACTAAAAGGCATTACAGTTATTCTTTTTTTTAATATTTTATTTAAATGCTTATTTTTCTTTAAGCCAATTAATTAGAGCTCTTTTATATAAACATTACACACACAACACATATATAACTGCACAGACAGATAGAAAGAAGACTATTACAGTAGTTGTAAGTGTCCATTTATCAGTTTCTAAGCTTCTTAATTAAATGACTGGCTTTAGGGTGGAGTTCTTGGAAGAATAGGGCCCAGAAAGGGTCTCTGGTGCCTCGTCTTTTCCCAAGGAGTCCCAGGCTGTTAGAGCTTGAATATCTGCTTTTAATTAAGCTGACCTTTTAACCACAGCACTCTTTAATAAAAGTTCTTTTAGATTGCTTATCATGTAACTTTAGCCAGGCCAAACAGCTGTTATTATTGTACTTATAAAAGGAAAATTGAAGATGGTTCATGGAGGGGAAGGGAATTTAAAAATGGCAAAGGTAACACAAATATCAATCAGAAAGTACTCATTCCCTATGCTGGCAATTGAACCATGAACCAAGCAGCCATTGTGATGGTGGAGACTGAGAAATATTGCCATGTGGGTTACCAGATCAAGCTCCCAAGGACATACAATACAAGATGGAGACCTCAACAATTTTTTTATTGACCAGTTTGCTGGGCCATCTTGAACAGTGAGCTCATGTGGTTTTAGGCATGCATTTTATCCTAAGTTACCCCTCTTCATAACAGAGCAGTACAGAAAGACACACAAAGCAAACCAGATTTACTATAGCTTAAGACCAGCCTCAGAATTTTTTTTCATGTTAATTAAAACTTTACAGAGGAGATAAACAGTGATTTTTACCATTCATTTAACAAGTTTGCATAGAGAAAAAGAGGCCAGAAATCTGACTGGTAAGCAATTCTTATCCTTCTGCCAGCATATCAGATCTCTAGGTTCCCTTTCACTGAGCAGCCCTAGCGACCTGGCTGGCTGCACCACATCCCTGGGACCAAGCCACAACACAAAGAAAAATTATCTGTTTCCATTCTGGCCAGAGCAAAACATGTTGACAAAACATAGACATTAGCCCTCAGCTTAGCACCCAATATCAAACTGGCGAGGCCCAAATGTGCCCCCAGATAGGTCCCGTAATCTCTAATGTTTTAAAGAAGCTTCTGCATATTAATAGGCATCCTTAGATTAGACTAATTTGGGAACCCTCATTTTTAAATGCATTTCTGCATGTTGTTGTTCATTTGGAATGAACCACTGTAAGTTATCTTTAGTAAGATTTTTCCTTTTCTGTGAGCTTCATTGCCTCCTGGGCCTAACATATAAGCCAGAAGGAACTTGGTTTTCCAGGAATTAAGGATCCCATTTTTACCTAAAATATTGGCTTTACTCTCAGGTTCCTTTGATTAACTTAGCCAATGATATTTTTTTCTACCTAAGTGTGCAAGAAAATTAAACAAAGGGGTGGAACTCAAAAATCCCTGTGAATTTTCAAAAGCCAAATTTTATAACTCCTACAATGTTACCATTTGCTACCAGTTTCTTTCTGACCCAGTCAGATGTAAGAGGCCTCTAACTGGATCCAAACCAGTTAATTCCCAGATCAAATCCATTCCTGGACCCATTCCATTTTCTGTCATGACTTCGAAACCCAGTTTGGATCAGAAACTTGCTCAAAGAAACTCAAATAGCTCAAAACACAAATCTGTGGAGCTCTGAAATACAAGAGAGAAGTTATGATCCCCAGCTGCTCTGAGAGATCAAGGGACACAAATGGGTCCTGCAGGTACCTTGCTTGTTCATTCAGTGCTCCTGGGGGTCATTAGAAGCTCTACTTTGAATCCTGCTTCTGACACCATTTGATAAAAGAAAAATTTCAGCTGAATTAAACTTAAAAGAGTTTAAACACTGTCATATGTGAGCTTTTAAAGATTTTTTATCTTAATTGGATCATATTATGAATGTGTGTGTGTCTGTGTATATCTATAATTTGGTAAATTCTTTTGTACATGTCAAAGCATCTTCAGATGCCAATAGGTACCAATCAACGCTATTGTTTTAAGGGCTACATAGCATTCCAATGTATAGAAAAACACAGTTTTTTGATTGAAATACAAATTGATGTTAAATTACTGTTATAAATAATACATCAAGAAACATTCTTATACATGCATTTTCACCACCTATTTCAATATTTCCTAGTGAAAAATATGAAGAAATAGAATTATTGGGCCAAGTAAATTTTTTTGTCTATTAATAAATATTGCCTATTTCACCACAAAAAAAGAAAGCAGTTCTTAATCCAATCAGAAGTACATGAGAACTCCCACTTCTTTCTTTTCATCCTAATGCTGGATACTATCAATATTTGAACTGTGCCAATTAGATGAGTAAAATGTTTTTTAATATTATTAAACGCTACATTGGGATTATTTAACACATACAGGCACATATTCGTGCAGACATTTTGTCCAAAAACTTTTAAGTAAACCTGTACTTCTGGTTAGTATGTTTTGTTTAACTTTTTAATAGTTTCCTTGAATTTAAATTTATTTTTCCATATGTCTTGATGTAAAACTGAATTTAGTTTGTTCAGGTTGTTAATTATGTGCTCTAGTGTTATTTATTCAAAAATTATTTTCTCTCAACTAATGTGAAATGGTATTATTCTCATAACACTCCCATAAGAGATTAGCCTACACTTCTTAAATCTATACTCAGTTACAGTGACTTCTCTATTTCTGTATAAGTTAAGAAATGTAAAAATTTTAATAAACCAGGGAATTAATTGATTTAACTTTTCTCTCATTTTACTTTATATACAAATGTCCTTTATGCAAATCAAATGTATATTGCGTTTATTCATATAAAAAAGTAGGGCTTTAAAATAATGTAATCTTTCAAAGTGGATATAATTTCTAATTTTATAATATCTGAGAAAATAGCTTTAGCCCAGATAACTTATTCAATTTAATTTTTAAAATATAAATTCCTAGACTAGAAGGCACTTAAGTATTGGTACTAGCAATGATAGCAGAAGTCATAATTGGAAATAGTAAATAAAAGTTAATGAAATTAAATTAGGCAAGATTATTTAAAAACTATTATAATATCTAAAAGTATACAAATTACATAGTAATTGTGAGCTAAGATAGTTTCCTAAAAAGAACAGAATTAATACACTATAAGAAAAGTCTCATTTAAATTTTGACAAAGCCTAGGATATAGAGAAAAATAATATGATGTGGGTTATGAGTCCTTAGAAGCACAGTATTTCTCTCTTGACTAATATTATTATGACTGTAGTCAATGTAGTGATTAAACAAAGTCTGGCATCAGGGCAAGAGAGCCTTCCCTGGGTACAGAAAACTTTGATGTGACATTGACTAGCATTACAGAGAAGAGCCTCTCACTAGATGGCAATCTATAAAGACCTGGTGGGATCTGCAGGAGGTGGGAAGTTTTTTCCTGTCAGCTTTTTATGTTCATGAAATAGAAGAACATAAAATATATACAAGTTGTGAATACACAGAGCCCACTAAGAAATGTACCCTGGAGTGTGCGTGAAAAGTATAACACACAGATTAACATGCCTCTGCCATCTTATAAATGAATGGACAAATATCTCCCCATGACTTAAATTTTCACCAGCCTTTTATGTTGACTTGTCATTACCCAATAAGTAATACATTTCTTAAAGTTCTACGAAATGGAATACTATTTCTGCATATTTATGAAAGATGATTAAATCTAGTGGGATGCTAGACAGCTGACATGGACTAATGAGAGCAGACTATTAAATATTCAGGAATTCTGCAAATCAGTGGTTAAACCATTGGTTGTTGAAAATCAGCCATTGTAGAAGTATTTATCCCAGAGATATCAGCAGATACTACAAACAAGCACCCCACTTCCACTAGTTAATTTACTAGAACACAATTAACAATTATGTTCTATTGGCCTATGATATGATTTCTTTTAAAGTCATCTTATTTTTAGGCTTTAATTCAACACACAAGAGAGCAGACTAATTTGCCTGTGTAGAGAATACATTGTGTGGAATTGATGCTATGTTCTAGCTCAGTGTCTTCCAAATGTGTATCTGCTGGTCTGAGTCTGTCTGTGAATAAGACAATGAGATAATGAAGAAATAAGAAAACTGAATACAGAGGAAGTTGGACATTCTCCAGGGAAGTTATGGCTAATAGACCTCCACATGTTTAAAATTTAACCTCTTGTCTATTCCGAACAGTAGTCAACTATATTAGGAGTACAATTCTGCTCTTGTAATAAATTTTCTTAAAGTCTCTTTGAAGCTATGTATTAAACTTTTATTACATGTCATGAGAATAAGTAAATATGAATTTCCATCAAAGTTCTGGAAAGTATTGGAAAGATTACAGCTTCGGAAGTAAAAATGCTGTTAAAAGTGGAGGAAGAAGGCTGGGTGTGGTGGCTCAAGCCTGTAATCCCAGCACTTTGGGAGGCTGAGGCAGGCGGATCAGGAGGTCAGAAGATCGAGACCATCCTGGCCAAAATGGTGAAACCCCGTCTCTACCAAAAATAGAAAAATTACCTGGGCGTGGTGGCGCGTGCCTGCAATCTCAGCTACTCAGGAGGCTGAGGCAGGAGAACCACTTGAACCGGGGAGTCGGAAGTTGTAGTGAGCTGACATCCTGCCATTGCATTCCAGCTTGGCAACAGAGGGAGACTCCGTCTTAAAAAAAAAAAAAAAAAAAAAAAAAGTGGAAGAAGAACAAGGACATCCTTAGTGATTTGCTTAATTCTTAAGGCAGCTGTTCTTTAGCATGCATGAAAATCACCAGGGTGCCTTGTTAAGAAAGAGTTTCTGATTCAGTAGGTCAGGAATGGAGCCTAGGTTATTTGCATTTCTAACAACTTTATACATTATGCTGGTGCTGCTCCTTAAGATACAATACTTTGAGAACCACTGCCCTAAGGAGAGAAGCTGTTTCTTTCTAATCTTGTATTCTTATCTATCCTAATTAATTAACAAATATTTGTTGAATTCGGTTTCTCATCTAAGCCAGGGAATAGAGAAGCTAATTTACTGTACTGAATAAGAAAAAAAACAGGAACAAAAAATAGAATATGTTTAGTTTTTATTGTACAAACGATCAATTACATGTTAGCATATAAATTATCCCAGAACACATTAATATCGATATTTTCATATCCCATAAGTGTATGACATAAATATCTTCATATGAAATATAGAATGTGTGGTTTTTGCATTTAAGGCTATCAATTGGTGAAATATTTAGAATCCAAAGAATGATTCTAATGTATAAGCTGAAAAAGAGGCAGATATTTCTACTCAGGAGGCTGAGGCAGGAGAATCACTTGAACTCGGAGGGTGGAGGTTGCAACAGTGAGACGAGATCATGCCACTGCACTCCAGTCTGGGTGACATAGCAAGACTCCATCTCAAAAAAAAAAATCTTATTTACAGAATGATAAATTCAATATTTAAGAAAATAAATACTTGTAAAGTTGTATAATAAATGAGGGTAATATTAATATGAAAATTCTTTAAATGGAATGATATAAAAATGCTCAGAGAAAATATTACTAAGGCATCAACATCAAAAATAAGAAAAGATGAAAGGGAAAAGAGGCCAAGAAAAGTGAGATTAATATTTTACAGTAAATTATAGCTATATCTGTTGCAATTTTTATTTGTTTTATTTTTGAAGTAATTTTGGGTTTACAGAAGAGTTGTAAGAGTAATTCATTGTTATATGTTTCAATAGCTTCCCCTAATGTTAATATTTTACATAACCATAATACAGTTATCGAAACTAAGCAATTACTGTAGATACAACACTATTATCTAAGCGGCAGATTTACTCAAATATCATCAGTTTTTTTGTTAATGACCTTTTTTATTGTTGTTCCAAAATCCAATCCAGGTTTTCAGCACTGTCATACCTCATTAGTTTTCTTCAGTCTGTGACAATTTCTCTGTGTTTTCTGTTTCATTACCTTGATACCTTAGAAGCATACTAGTAACTAATTTTTAGAATGCCCTTCATTATGGACTTGTTTGATACTTTCTCAGATTATACTGAGGTTATATATCTTAGGGAAGAATAATTTAGAAGAGATGGTGTGTTTCTTAGCACATTGTTTTGGGGATTCATAATCTCAATATGTGTTATTACTGGTGATTGTAACATTGATCAGTTGATTAAAGTGACGACTGCCAAGTTTCTTCACTAGAAAGCTTTTATTCTTCCCTTAGTATTTTTTAAATTATTGCAGGAGTTCTTTTTAGACCATGTAATATCCAATTTTTCTTAAACTTTAGACCATTAATTTTAAAACTATCTGTGGATCTTGCCTTTAGCAAATATTACTGTGGTCTTCTAATGATGTTTCCTATTTCTCTCACTTCTGTCATACTTATGAATTTGAAATCTTTCTGTTGGAAAGAATTACGCCCTCCTATTTACTTATTCAGTCATTAACTTACATAAGTATGGACTCAGGAGTATTGTTTTATTTGGGGGGTGGTTTATAATTCAACACTATAATTATGTATTTTGTTGTTCAAGTTGTTCCAGTTTTGGCCCTTAGGAGTTCTTCTGAGTGAGTACTGACATTCTTTCTTCATGCACCTATTTTTTGTTTGTTTGTTTGTTTTGTTTTTAATTGACAACTTCTTCAGTGAGGCATGTTTTGTTTTGTCCTTGATCCAGCTCTGGATCAACCACTTCTCTAAGGATTTCTGGATCTTTTATTAAAAAACTAAGGTCTTTAGAAGCTGACATATGCATCCTAGATATGCTCATTGCTTCTGGCATGACACAACTGACAAAGTTAGGAAATATACACATATATGTATACTCATACATGTATGAAGAGATAGTCTATATTGATTTTTGCGTCTCTCTATATGTATATATAAATAAGTTCACACTGAAACCTGCAACATCAATCCAAAAGCACCAGGTTCATTCTAGACTCATCCCTCTGCTCACTTGTAATTTCTTTCTCCAGAAACTTAGCTCTCATTATCTATTACATATTTTCTTGTTATTCAACCCTAACATATATATGTATATTAGCTAGTTATAGAACTGCTAGCCCGTATTGCTGTGGAAAAATTTACTCATTGCTAAATAACAAATGGGATAAAGAAACATAAAAAATGTTTTTTTAAAATTGAAGTGAATAAAGTGTAATATACAACATAAAATTTGTGGGACATGCTAAAGGGATGCTCAAAGGAAAAATTTTAGCACCAACTGTTTACGTTAGAAAAGAACAAAGGTATAAAATCAATAATTTGGCCAGGTGTGGTGGCTCACACCTGTAAACCCAGCACTTTGAGAGGCCGAGGCAGGCGGATCACCTGAGATCAGGAGTTTGAGACCAGCCTGACCAACATGGAGAAACCCTGTCTCTAATAAAAATACAAAATTAGCTGAGCATGGTGACGTATGCCTGTAATCCCACCTACTCAGGAGGCTGAGGCAGGAAAATCACTTGAATCTGGGAGACAGAGGTTGTGGTGAGCCAAGATCATGCCATTGCACTCCAACCTGGGCAACAAGAGCAAAACTCCGTTTGAGAAAAAAAAAATCAGTAATTTAAGCTTAAGAAGCTAGTAAAAGGGAAGAAAATGAAAAGCAAAGCAATCAGTAAAAATAAATAAATAAACCAATTCAATTTGAGTGATTTTTATATAACCATCTTCAAGATCACCAATATTTTCCTTGTATGCATCTTATCTATTGATGATCTGTCTGTATTACAGTTCTCCAAAAACAAAACAAAACAAAAACCCAGAATCAATAGGATATGCATATTGATATATAGAAAGATATTTCTTATAAGGGATTGGCTGAAGTGATTATGGATGCTGAGAAGTCCCACAGTCTTCAGTCTGCAAGCTGGAGGTCCAGGAAAATTGTTGGAGTAGTTTTAGTCCAAATCTAAGGACCAGAGGAGCCAATTATGTAAGTCCTTGTCAAAGTCCAAAAGCCAGAGAACCAAGAGCAGCAAGGTCCACAGTCAAGCACACAGCAAATTTCTCCTTCCTCTCTCTCTCTCTCTTTTTTTTTTTTTCAGTTCAGATGATCAATGGTTTGAATGATGCCTACTCACATTAGTAAGGGTAATCTTCTTTACTCAGTCCACCAATTCAAATACTAATCTCTTGGATGTACCTTTAGAGACACACTTAGAAATAATGTTTTACCAGCTATCTGGGTATCCTTTAGTTCAATCAAGTTCAATCAGTTTAGTTCAATCACAAATTACATGTGTCAGGTTGACAAATACAATTAACCAAAATGCTGTCCAAGACATTCTTCATTTCTACAACTATGTTTTTTCTTTGTAGCATTTCCACTAGATTATTTTTTATAGATGAAAACTATAACTTTGCTGAAATTACTCATCTGGTCTTGCATGCTGTCTGCCTTTTCTACTTGAGCATTTTAAATATTTGGTATGCTTTAAAAACAAAGCAAAAACCTGTCATATATTTCTGTCATGCCTAAGCCTATTTCTCATGATTGTTTTTTCTTGAGGGGCTGATTTATCTTTCCTTTTCATATACTGCGTAATGTTTTGGTTGAAAACCAGACATGTGTGCAAGGCTGAAGAGACTGAGATAAATAGCTTGCACATGAACACATCTTTTTTTTTTTTTTTCTAATGTTAGTTCTTTAGTGAGAGGTTCTGAGTTATTACAATTAGGAGTTGGGTTGGTACTGGGGTTTTGTTTATTTGTCTGTATGTTATTGTTACCCTTAGCACATCATATGCTTCAAATTCTATTAGCAAAATCTTGTATTTATAATGGAAGCTGGTTTACCAGAGTTGTTTTGTTTGTTTTTAAATACTTCAGTGTTTGACACCCTGTCACCTTTAGTGTTCTTTTTGCACCATGTCACAGAGATGCTTTGTCTCTTGCAATTAACTGTCTACACAATTCTTATTAATCTTGGTTTTTAACTGGCTGGTAGTTGGTCTGTTGATAGGAATGGGTGTAGGAGATATTCTCTTTTATTTTATTAAGCCTCACTATCTGGCAGGCATAGTGTCTCTGGATCTAAGAAGTGTGGCCTTTTCAATGTTCTAGCCCCTCCCAGGGTGGTAGCCTGAGTCCAGGATAAATTCTCTCTCTCTCTCTCTTTTTTTATTATTATACTTTAATTTCTGGGATACATGTGCAGAATGTTCAGGTTTGCTACATAGCTATACACGTGTCATGATGGTTTGCTGCACCCATCAACCCATCATCTACATTAGGTATTTCTCCTAATGCTATCCCTACCCTAGCCCCATAACCCCCATCAGGCCCTGTGTGTGATGTTTCCCTCCCTGTGTCAATGTGTTCTCATTGTTCAACTTCCATTTATCAGTGAGAAAATGTGGTGTTTGGCTTTCTGTTCTTGTGTTAGTTTGCTGAGAATGATGGTTTCCAACTTCATCCATGTCCCCGCAAAGGACATGAACTCATCCTTCTTTATGGCTGCATAGTATTCCATGGTGTATATGTGCCACATTTCCTTTATCCAGTCTATGATTGATGGGCATTTGGGTTGGTTCCACGTTTTTGCTATCGTGAACAGTGCTGCGGTAAACATATGTGTGCATGTGTCTTTATAGTAGAATGATTTATAATCCTTTGGGTATATACCCAGTAATGGGATTGCTGGGTCAGATAGTATTTCTGGTTCTAGATCCTTGAGGAATCGCCACAGTGTCTTCCACAATGGTTGAACTAATTTACACTCCCACCAACAGTGTAAAAGCATTCCTGTTTCTCCACATCCTTTCCAGCATCTGTGGCTTCCTGACTTTTAAATGATTGCCATTCTAATTGGCGTGAGATGGTCTCTCATTATGGTTTTGATTTGCATTTCTCTAATGACCAGTGATGATGAGCTTTTTTTCATATGTTTGTTGGCTGCATAAATGTCTTATTTTTAGAAGTGTAGGTTCATATCCTTTGCCCAATTATTGATGGGGTAGTTTGTTTTTTTCTTGTTAACTTCTTTAAGTTCTTTATAAATTCTGGGTATTAGCCCTTTGTCAGTTGGATAGATTGCAAAAGTTTTCTTCCATTCTGTGGGTTGCCTGTTCATTCTGATTATAGTTCCTTTTGCTGTGCAGAAAGAAACCCATTAGTTTAATTAGATCCCATTTGTCAATTTTGGCTTTTGTTGCCATTGCTTTTGGTATTTTAGTTATGAAGTATTTGCTCATGGCTATGTCCTGAATAATATTGCCTAGGTTTGCTACCAGGGTTTTTATGGTTTTAGGTCTTACGCATTCTTATTTCTCCCTCAAAGTCAGACTTTTCTGTTTGTTTATATGATCCCTTACTCTAGCTAAAATAGATACTTAGTAGTGCACTAAGTATGACAGTGTTTATTGCCTTTCTTTCCAAAGATTAGAGCTTTTCTTTATTAAGAAAACAATCAGTTTGTCAATATCTAAATAAGAGCTTATGAGATAGTAATTGGAATTACATTGAATCTATAGATCAACTGAGAAAGAATTGACATGTAAAAAATCTTGAATCATCCAATTCGTGAATGCTAAATATCTATTCATTTATTTACATGTTTGATTTATTTCATCAGAGTTTTGTTGTTTTCTGCATATAGATTCTAAATACATTTTGCTAGACTTATACTTAAGTTTTTTCAGTACTAATGTAAACCCTATTTTTTAAATTTAAAATTTCAGTTGTTCATTACTGGTATATAGGAATGCATTTGACATTTGGATATCACATTAACACTTTATCTTGGGATGTTGCTATACTCATTTATTAGTTCCCAACATTTTTTTGGAAATTCTTTAGGATTTTCTACATAGATAATAATGTCATCTGTAAAGAAGAACATTTATTTTTTACTCTTAATTTGTACACTTTTTTATTAGTCTTGTCTTGTTGCACTAGATATGACTCCTAGTGTGGTGATTAATAGAAAATAGTGACAGAAAACATTTTTTCCTTGCTTTCTAAAGGGAGAAGGTACCTATTTTCTCACTATTAAATGTAATGTTAGATGAAGGGTTCTTTTCTAGATATTCTTTTTCTATTTTAAATGTTTATACCTAATTTCCATGACATTTTTGTTATAAATGAGTGTTGGATTTTGTCAAATGCCTTTGACATCATTTGACATGATCATAATTTTTTTTTCCTTAGCCTACTGATTTGATGGATTACATTGCTTTATTTTTAAATGTTGAACTAGACTTGTTTATCCAAAATTAATCCTACTTGGCCATCATGTTTACTTCATTTTAGACACTGTCAGATTTTATTTACTATTGTTTTGTTGCAGAATTTTGCATCTGTGTTAATGAGCAATATTCATCTCTGGTTTTCCTTTCTTGCAATATCTTTATGGATTTTGGTATTAGGGGAATTCCGGTTTCACAAATGGAATTAGACATTCTTTACTCTACTGCTATTTTCTGAAAAATATTGTGGAGAAGATATTTTTCTTCCTTAAATGTTTGGTAAGACTCATGAGTCAATGCATCCAGGCCAGGTGCTTCCTTTTTTCTTGAAAGTTATTAATAATTGATTTAATATCTTTAGTAGGTGTAAGCCTATTGAAGCTATCTATTTCTCCTCATGTATATTTTGCCAGCTTGGGTCTTTCAAGAAATAGATCTGTTTTATCTAAGTTTTCAAATGAGAGGGAAGTATTTTTTGTAGTATACTTTATGATACTTATATTGTCAATAATAGTAGTAGCTATCATCTCTGTATCACAAAAGATTTTGTTTTCTTTTCCTTTATTTTTATTTTTTGTTGTTGCTCAGCCTGGCTAGATATTAATCAATTGTGATGATCTTTTAAAGAACTGACTTTTAGTTTTGCTGACATTTAAATTTTTTTTGTTTTTATTTTTCTTGACTTTTGCTAAAATTTTTCATATTCTTCTTTTTACTTTATGCTTGTATCACTCTTCTTTCCCTAGTTTCCTAAGGTGAAATCTTAAGATTGCTGTTTTAGATCTTTCTGGTTATTCATAATTGTTTTTAATGCTCTACATTTTCCTCTGAGCACTGTTTTTACTATCTCTCAAATTTTGATATTTTATTTTGATGTTTATTTAGTTCAAAATATTTCAAAATTTATCTTCAGAGTTTATCTTTGTGTGTTATTTGGGGATATGTTGTTTAATCTTCAAATATTTGAGTATTTTCTATTTTTCTGTTATTGATTTAAAGTTTAGTTCCATTGTGTTTTGAAAATATACTTTAATTTCTATTATTTTGGATGTAAGATATGTTTTATTTTGTCTAAACTATTATCTCTATTGGTAAATGTTCTAAATGAGCTTGAGAAAAATGTGTATTATGCCATTTTTGCATGAAGTATCCAATAAATGTCAATTAAATCATGTTGATTCATAGTGTTGCTCAGATCAACTTTACCCTTACTGATTTTCTGCCTCCTTAATCTATCAATTGCCGAAAGAAGGATGCTAAAGTCTCCAATTATAATGGCTTATGTCTATTTTTCTTGATGTTCTATTAGAGTTTTTGTTTGTTTATATATTTTGTCTATTTTGTTCTTTTTTGCATATTTTGATTATCCATTTTTAGCAGTATAACCATTAAATGATAGTCTGAAGATTGACCTCTTAATCACTATATAATACTTCCCTTTATCCTTCATAACTTTTCTTACATCTGCTTTGTATGAATTTAATATAGCCACTACGTGTTTATTTTGATTAGTGTAGCATAGTATATCATTCTCTCTTCCTTTATTTTTAAAACAGCTTTATTGAGATATAACTCAATAACACTTTAGTTTTAACCTATCTTAGCTTTAAAAAAAAACTTTTATTTTAGATTCAATGGTAAACATACAGGTTTGTTATATAGGTAAACTCGTGTCACAGGGATTTGTTGTACAGGTTATTTAATCATCCAGATACTAAGCCTAGTACCCAATAGTTATTATTATTATTATTTTTTTCTGCTCCATTCTGTCCTCCTACCCTCTACTTTTAGGTAGGCCCCAGTGTCAGTTGCTCCCCTCATTGTGTCCATTTATTCATCATTTAGCTCCCAATTATAAGTGAAAACATGCGGCTTTTGTTTTTTTGTCCTTGTGTTAGTTTACTAAGGATAACAGCCTCCAGCTCCATCCATGTTTTGCAAAGGACATGATCTCATTCTGTTTTACGGCCACATAGTATTCCATGGTATATATGTACCACATTTTATGTTTTCACTCTATATCTCAGTCTTTATATTTAAAATGAGTTTCTTATAGACAATATATTATTTGTCTTTCTAAAAATGCTTTATGACAATCTATATTCTTAAATTTGTCTATTTTGAAATTCTTGTTTAAAGTAAGTATTGATAAAGTTGGGTTAGTATTACCATATTTGTAACTGTTTTCTTCTTCTTCTTCTTCTTCTTCTTCTTCTTCTTCTTCTTCTTCTTCTTCTTCTTCTTCTTCTTCTTCTTCTCCTCTTCTTCTTCTTCTTCTTCTTCTTCTTCTTCCTTCTTCTTCTTCTTCCTCTTCCTCTCCTTCTCCTTCTCCTTCTCCTTCTCCTTCTCCTTCTCCTTCTCCTTCTTCTTCCTCTTCTTCTTCTTCTTTTTTTTGAGACGGAGTCTTGCTCTGTCACCAGGCTGGAGTACAGTGGCGCGATCTCGACTCACTGCAACCTCCGCCTCCCAGGTTCAAGTGATTATCCTGCCTCAGCCTCCCGAGCATCTGGGACTACAGGCACATGCCACCATACCCAGCTAATTTTTGTATTTTTAGTAGAGACGGGGTTTCACCATGTTGGCCAGAATGGTCTTGATCTCTTGACCTCATGATCCCCATGCCTTGGCCTCCCATGATTGGATTACAGGTGTGAGCCACTGTGCCCAGCCGCCTTCTTTTTTTTCACATCACTTATTTTTACTTTTTCTACTATCTTTGAATTGGGCATTTTCTTCTATTCTAATTTACTTTCTCTTTTATCACATAAATTGTATTTGCATTTTTCATTTTGGAGAATTCCCTAGAGATCATAATATGCTTTTTTACCTAATCCATACAAACCTTCAATTAATACTATGACACTACATGTGTAGTAAAGATGGCTGATACTGGCGCATTGTCAATTTTTTTCCATTTATTTTGTCATTGCTTTCATTTATCTTATCTATGCAAGTTTACAATCACCAAATATATTACTAGTATTATTACTTTAAATACAGTTATTTTCAGATCAATTAAAAGTTAAAAAATATTTTTTTAGTTTCAATTTGAGTTATTTATTCTCAATGATCTTCCTTGAAAGGTGGATATGCTGTCAACACACTCCTATTTTTTTTTTTGTCTCAGAAATTATTTCCCTGCACTTGATAAAGATAATTTCACTGGATATAAAATTCTAGCTTGGCAATTTTTCTTTCAATACTTTAAATACTTCCTTCTCTTCTCTCATGATGATATGCTTTTTAATGAAAAGTTCAGTGTAATTCTTAACTTTATTTCCTTATAAGTAAGGTGTTGGACTTTCCTCTGGGTTCTTTAAGATCTTCTCTTTATCTTTGGTTTATTGACATTTGAATATGATATGCCTAGGTTTAGATTATTATTATTTTTTTTGGCATTCATCCTGCTTAGTATTATCTGAGCTTCTTGGACTGTGGTTTGGTATTTGTGATTATATTTGGAAAGTTCTCAGCTATTATTGCTCAAACGGTTCTTCTGCTTGATTCCTTCCTTATGCTCCTTTCAATATTCCAATAAAGCAAATGTTATGCTTTTTGAAATTATCCCACAGTTCTGGATATTTTGTTTGGTTTTGTTGCTGCAGTTTTTGTTTCCATTATTATTCTTTCTTCACTTTGCATTTTAGTTTGAGAAGTTTGTACTGAAATATCTTCAAGCTCAGTGATTCTTTTCAAATCCATTTGCTGTCTACCTATTTAAGGCATTCTTCATTTCTGTTACAGTGTTTCTGATTTCCTACATTTATTTTGATTGCTTCTTGAAGTTTTTATCTTTTTACTTCATTTCCCATATGTTCTTGAATCTACTTTTTCATTAGACCCCTTAATATATCAATCATAGTTATTATAAATCCCTCTCTGATATTTTAAAAACCTGTGCCATAAGTCATGTTCTGATACTTAGTTTGTTGTTTTGACTCCTCATAATATTTGTTTTCTTGGGTTTTTTTCCTTCTAATTTTTTATTGAAAAAGGTAATGTTACTAGTAATAGAAATTGAGATCAATATGCCTTTGCTGTGAAGTTTTATGTTAATATATATGGTAAGGAGTCTGACTCAAATTTTGATGTTTGACTACTGGCAGCTTTGTGCCTCATTCTTCCCTGTACCCTGGTGCCATCCATCTGGTCAATCTGATAAGAAATCTTGGATTCTGCTTCTTTTGACACTGGTGAGGAACCCATGATTGTGCCCAGGAAGCCTCACCCAGTGTCCACCCACTATCCGTAATAAAAACCCTGAACCAGTCTCATTTTCTTGCTCTCTTCAGTCATTTCAGACCCCTTTCAGAGTGAAGCAAACCAAAATATTTCAACCCCCAAAATGGCTCCCTGTTATAATGGGTATTTTGAATTAAAGGCCCTTAAACATCAGTAGACACTGGAAAAAATATTTCCTTCATTTACATAGAGACTAGACGGACCCCCCAAGGAGAACAATTGTTTTTCCTTCTCGTCTCTGTTATCTGATTATCTATCGCAGAGCAGAAGACTGAAGAATGTAAAAACACCTGAACTGACCCTTTCACAAGACAGCGTCTGTCTCTCAGGCTCATTCATTTTCTAAGGAGAACCATTTACAGGTTAATCTCTGTTCCCTGCTTTATTAATTTTCCCTAATAATCATTTATTGCCCCTCAACAGAATTATAAATATTCCCCACCTCCCTTTTCTCTCTGAAACAAGAAATATACAAACTTCTATACCCCACTGGGGATTTGGGGATAATAACTTTGTGGTTCTCCCCCAAACACATGAATAAATTGTATGCCATTTCTCCTATAAATCTGCCTTTTGTCCATTGATTTTTTAGCAAATCTTCAGAAGGTGAAGGGAAAGTTTTCCCTTGACCCTTAAAAGAAGTCTACTCTGTTCTCTCCAGAAAACCTCCACCATAAAAGTAATAAATATTTCATATCCTCTTAATGTTTTTATGCTGTCACCAGTTGCCATGTCTGAAGCAAATCTGGGTCAGGTACCATTATACCTATGCAGAGTATCTAAAATAATCATCCTAGGAATTGAACAGCATTTAATGTTTTCTGTATTTGTAGGTCATGGAGGCTTAAAATATCCCCAGTGTCTTGTTTTGTCTCTTCTGTTGTTTTTAAGCTTCAATAAGAACTTTTACAAGATAACGTATATTAAAAATAAAATATATATCTTGCAGATCTTATATCTGTAATCCACTATTATTATCCTGGAGTACTATTGATATGGAGAAGTGTGGAGGGTGGAATGTAATTGTCCAGTGGGTCCTTCTTGTCCTCTGCACAGATACAGCTGATTTACTAACACAGCCGTATTGCAATAGAGAAAGAGTTTAATAAACACAGAGCCAGTCAAACAACACACAGGAGTTCATAACACAATTCAAATTTAGTGGCTAATTTTTTAAAGAATAATAGGACAGGCAGGGGGCTAGAGGATAGGGAATATTCACTGGGTTGGTGATGAAATTATAGGGGATGAAACTTGTCCTCTTGCACTGAGTCAGTTTCTGGATGGGATTACAAGACAAGTTGAACCAGTTTAACAGTCTAGTTGGCACCAGCTGGTATATCAGAATGCACGTTCTTGTTTTTTTTTTTTTTTTTTGAGATGGAGTCTCGCTCTGTCACCCAGGCTAGAGTGCAGTGGTGCGATCTCGGCTCACTGCAAGCTCCGCCTCCCAGGTTCACGCCATTCCCCTGCCTTAGCCTCCCGAGTAGCCGGGACTACAGGCGCCCACCACCCCGCCTGGTTAATTTTTTTTTTTTTCTGTATTTTTAGTAGAGACGGGGTTTCACCATGTTAGCCAGGATGGTCTCGATCTCCTGACCTCGTGATTCCTCCCGCCTCGGCCTCCCAAAGTGCTGGGATTACAGGCGTGAGCCACCATACCCAGCCCTAATTTGTTAGTTTTACAAACGTAGTTTTTGTCCCCAAGCATGGAGAGAGTAAGTTTGGGAAGGGCTGTTATACTTGCTTTAAAGTTAAACTATAAACAAAATTGCTCCGAAAGTTAGTTAGTTATGCCCAAGAATAAGCAAGGACAGTTTAGAGGATAGAAGCAAGATGGAGTCAGCTATGTCAGATTTCTCATACTGTCATAATTTTGCAAAGGTTGTGTCAAGAAAGCATTCTATAATCTTATGCTTAAATATTAGCCTTTTAGTACAGCTGTGTCCCTGGGCTGTCGCCTTCACAAGTGCTCCCCACCAGCCCCCATCGTTATTTGATACCGGTAGGCTAAAGAAGATTGAATTCAGACAGTACTCTATGCCTTTTCCCTAGGTAGAACATGGTTTTATGAATTATTTCCCCTGGATAGTGGGCCTTTGTTATGGAGGAAACTCTTGGAAATTTTTTTGTTACCTTTCCCCTCCACAGTCAGAGCCACTAGAGAATCTATCTTGGCTCTTCACTATGAGAACTTGGTGGTGTTTCTGAAGGCAATACCCACTGAAAGTGTGGGGGTACCCCTGAAATTTGGAATTTCTGACTCTCACACTAACCCACACTCAGTTACCAGCACTAAGTCTCCCAAAATTCATCAAAATTACCATTTAAGTGTTACTACCCGTTTATGGCTCCAACAACTTCTGCTCTAGATAGTAGATCTCAATTGCAGCTCTCTGGAGTCATCTCTCTCTCTCAACTTGAAGGTGGCAGTTTTCCCTGTTAATACAGTGCCCTTATGGGGCCAAGAAAACTCTTTGGTTTTTAGTTTGTTTAGCTTTTCTTTTGTTAGGATGGAAATACAACTTCCAAGGGCACCTATACCTATTCTACATCATCTAGTTCCCTGTCTCTTTCATATTGGCTCTTACTAAATATTTTTGACTTTTGACTGATAAGTAATGTTCATCATACTGAAAATCATTAAAAATGCCAAATGTGAGCTAATACAAAAGCCTAATTTTCTCTATTTTCTTGATATATACTTAACTTTATAAAAGTCAGTGTGTCTCAACCCATGACATCATTAATAAGTGCTTTACAGTTTGTACTTTTAAAGATCCACATAATTTTCTGACTTCCTTTGTTTTATTCACGTTTATTACAAAGTTTTCCTATCACAGAACAATTCTTCTTTCCCTGAGTCTGTTACAGAACTTCATACATTTGAAATTTTGCACAGTGCTACTTCTGATATCAGAAATGCTATTTCCCCTCTACCTTGGAAATTTATTCATTCATCTAGGCACAGCTCAAATCTCAAACTTCCTGAAAAATATATCCCAATTTACTCAAGCAATTGGTTAATTTCTATGAGTTTCTGTTATTTGTTTATTCTCCTTTTGTATTTTTTGTGCAATCTTTCTACACTTCATATTTATTGTTTTCCAATTTTTCTCCCTTACTAGACTTTAGTCAAGAAACTATTCATTTTTGCGTTATTAGAGCTTTGCTCACACTGAATTCAATAAGTGTTTGTTGAATGATTAATGTCTTAAGTTTAAACCAGTCTTTTTCCCTCTCGCTATAATGTATAATCTTATAATGTGAATCTTAATGAATCAAACCAAATATTTTCTTAAATTTTCTTTATGTATTTGCACATTATTTCCTAATATTTTTTCCTGCATTGCTAAAAAACTTTGAAGAGCTCAGGCTATACAATCTAGATCAAATATAAACAATACTAAAGTACAACAGGAGTTTTTGTTGCTTCTAAGATGGAAGTGTAAACCCAACTTATTAACAGTAAAGGCATAGTGGTTTTGGCCCCATTGTAACTGCTGCAGCTCTGATGAGTGGAGGAACACCAGGGTTCTTGGTCCTCGCGCTGGTTTGGATAAAATGACATAGACACACGTGAAGTGGTTTTAAGGAGTGAAAGGTTTAATAGGCAAGAAAGAAGGAAGGAAGAAGAAAACAGCTCTCCCATGCAGAGACAGAGGGAGGGGGTATTGGAGCAAAGAGAAAACCCCAAGTGTGGCAGAAATCAGCCAGTTAATATGAAGAGGATGGAGGAGGTGGTGTCTGGTTTGCATAGGGTTCAGGGGATTGGTTTGACCAGGCATGTCATTCATGTAGCCTGTGAAAAACTGGCCTTCCCATCTAGTCATTCAATATGCAAATACAGAGCGCCATGATGTTCCACACACATGGAGATATGTGGGGGCGGCCATGATGCCAGGCACATGTGAGGCAAGGACAAGAAGAAGGTGGTAGGAATTGCCATGTTTGGGTGGACCCAGTTTCTTTTTTTTATTTTATTTTTTTCTGTCTATAAGTTTGTTGTCTTTATCTGAAAAATCGTCATGGAAAATTGTTTGGTTTAGCTCTCAGCAGCCTGCATCTGAGCTCTGAGGAAGCTTGCCTTCTTTTGAGCTACCCCATCTTTCTTCTGAGCAAGGGACATTTTGGGACGGTTCCACCTCTTCTTTTTAACTTCTTTCTTGGGGTTCTTTTCATAGACTGGATTCTCTCGTATAGCAGCATAAGCTTTCTTATACATCTCCTCCTTCATGTCTGGAGTTACACTATTCTTTATGTATTGAGAGAACTCTTTCTTGTAAGCATCTTCCATTAAGTAGTGTATGTACTCTGCAACATTCTGGTCCATGATGTGCTTCCTCTGTACTTCTGCATTAAATTCCTTGCTTTCAGAATCATAACCAGGGAATTGTTTGGTACTGTGAGGGACAGACAAGCTTCCATTGACAGCTCCCTTCAGGGCACCAAAAACTTTATTGCCAGTGGTAGTTCTGGCAAGGCCTGTGTCCAAATAGCAGGTAAAGGCACCTGGCTGGCCATCAATGCTTTCCACATTGTATTCATTGCCAGTCACCTCCACTTGGCCTTCATAGATCTTGTCCACGCCAAATCTATTGAGAAGCCTGTGGGCCAGCAGCACGCCTGTCCAATACACTGCAGCATAATTTGTCAGGCCAACTTCACACCATATTTTGGCAGTTTGTATGCATATGATGCGCAGACTATCATATCCCCGTCTATATGGGCATAAGCAATCTAATAAATGATATCTTTGTTACATGAACTATCATTCTGTATTTGGGTGTGCTGTATTTATTTTTGTCCTGTATCTCCAAGCATGTCCAAGCACAGAAATCAGTTTTACCCTCTCATCATCTTCTAAATTTCACTTAGTATCTTTCAAAGTAGGCCTTATTCTTAACAACTTTAACAAACCCCATCCTGCTGAATAGAGACCTGCATCCATGGCTTGACAAAGACCAATAGGCCCAACAGCACTAGGGATCAGAAAGGGCCACAACCCTTGCGCAGACACAATTGTGGGACCCAGTTTTTAATGGCTTGCAATTGCATATCAAAGATTGCCTGGTCAAACCAATCCCCTGAGCCTCTAAGAACCGGGGCTTTCCTGCTAGACAAGAAATGTTTCTGGAGCTGCTTTAAAAGAAACAAAAACTTTCCAAGGACCCTTTTTCCTCTCTATCTGCCTAAAGTAATTTCTTAATAACTCCTATAACATAACCTCATATTAAGCATTTTTGGACTTATAGAGAGAAAGGGCTGAGGAAAGCAAAAATACAGAAGATGAAGCAGTCTGGTCATTTCAGAGTTACTTTCCTTGTAAAGGTTAAAGCAAAGGTGACTTTGTTATTATGCTGGCTAAAAATGTCCTATGTGGGGATTTGGCTGTTTTTTCCTTCTTCTGATTTCTTGGAAGGTCAGATAAACACTTAGTTTTGGTTTTGTCATGTGGAACGTCAGCATGAGCAACTCCATTTGGGTTTAGTTTGTTGGGCCTAGAACAGAAAGTTCAAACCAATGGTCTCCTACACATTTTATTTAACAATTTCCCATTTTTAGTTAGGATCTCAAGTAGAACCAAACCTAAAGCACTAATGCTACTCTCAGTCACCATCATTTTGGGATTTGGGTTTTAACATATCTTTCATAAGTTACAGTGTATTGATTGTCATATGTTACTTGAAGTTTTTATTATTGCATCCAGAAAGGCCACTTAGTATTCAGCAGACGGCTGCATGTGGACATTTAAGATTTTCTGAGAGGGCGTATTGCACCAGGAAGACTAGTATTATGACTATCAAGAGGATAATACCAAGAGTTTGGAGTATATCCCTTAGCTAGGGTCACCATAAACCAAACCAACCAAAATTGAATAGACAAAGAACGAGTCAGGCAATAAATCTTACCTATTTTAACCAAGTAATTGGTTTACCAATTTTTTGCAACTGAATTTGTACAACACCTGATGTATTTATCCATATGCAATAAGAAGTGCCATCAGCCTTACAGACTCTTTTCTGTTCAGGTAGTAGAAAATCTAGCATCCCATGACAGGTTAAACTAAAGCAGGGAGTGAGAATAAATGGGTATACAAATTTTATTCTATAAAAGAGACCTGGGGTATAATTTGAACAATAGTTGCACAATGGATATTGCTCAAGTTACTCACTAGTGGATTAAAGAATCCCTTGGGTGAGGTAAATATTTGGATTTGGTGTGACAGATCCAACATTTCATCAAGTTATTCACAGAAGCTGCTGACTGTGAATTTGTATGTATAGCATTATTCCACCAAGCAAAAAGGGTAGGCACGCACAAGAAAAAAATAAGAGTAAGAGTCCTACTATGATGGAAACTCCTGTTCTGATGTCTTGAGGAAAAGCCACTCACAGCAGGAAATCATTAATATGTCCTCGTTGTTTGCAGTTTGAATGTCTCTGATTATGGCATGAAGGATTTTAGTAAATTTTCTGTGTGGCCCATATAGGGCACAAGACAAGGGTGTAAAAATTGCAAGGGTGAATTTTACATCAAGTTTTCCAGCTTCAGGTTGTAGGGTTTCAGGAATAGAGCAATTGTTGTTCTCAGTTGGAGAGCTGTAGCCAGATGTTGCAGGAAATTAGAAGAATTCAGGATCCAGTCCTGTATACGGGTAGATCATAAAAACTTGAAAACAATAAAAAGGACTACAATATAATAACAGGTATACCTATAGCTTTTCTTCAGAAACTTAATTTTTTTTCTCTCTACAGTTACCCTCATTTCTAACAAAGATAAATGGAATGAAATCAATTTGTTTGCAAAACCAGTACAGTTTCATTAAACTTGGTCAGATTATTTACATAACTACAGGAAAAATATATATTGATCACATAGGCTCTTTTGCAGTTGACTTTACTGGAACTTTTGACAGAGAATCTTAGACTGGACTTTAAAACCTCTCAAGGCTAAAAGTCAAATCAAAGCAGACTTCAGACTTCACCTGCAGTACCTATAGATTCATTCTATGTGAATTCTCAAATGACATCCCTTTTAAAGCTGTGGTAATATAACCAGTATTTCTAATGGTATCTTGTTATAAAGGGAGTTGATTATAATTTAGCTTATCCAAATAATTATATTTCCCTAAAATAACAATATTCCTGAATAGTTTCTAAATTCTGGATGGATAAGATAGGGAGAAAAAGTAAATGTTTCCATTTCTGTTCACAAGAATAGACTTTACCAAATTTCTGTAAACTATATATAGCTCAAAAGAAAAACATAATCTTTAAATCTGAAAACCAGAGCATTTTTTAAAAGCAATATTTCAAATTAATAAGATGCATAAATTCATAATTATTTTTATCAGCTCATTCTGTCTCATGTAATTAATTATTGTTTTGTTTGTTCTTAGCAGTTTCACAAATCCAACAGAGTTAGAGTTCTAGAAATTCTTACCTGGTCCAATGGTATAATCTTAATGTTATCAGAAATCTGTATTTGTCAGAGTACTTTCCTTCTTTTCCATGAATCTCCCTGAAGAGATAACACTTTAGGATTATAGTTGCTTATAAAAAACTTTCAGAAAAGCATTAGAATAAAGCAATTAATGGTACAACAAGATATAAAATGGCTATGCTTAAGAGCAGATGAGTGTTTACTACAATAATGACACAATTGAGTACAGGCACAGTAGCTCACACCTGTAATCCCAGTGCTTTGGAAGTCCAAGGCACGAGGACCACTTGAGGCCAGGAGTTTGAAATTGGCCTGGGCAACATAGCGAGATCCCATCTCTATACAATGTAAAAAAAAGAAATTAGCTGGGCATGGTAGCATGCCCCTGTAGTTCTAGCTACTTGGGAGGCTGAGGTAGTAGGAGCATTTGGGCCCAGGAATTTGGGCCTGCAGTTGGATATAATAATGCCACTCCAGCCTGGATGACAGAGTCAGATTTTGTTTCAAAGATAAAAAAAGAAAAATGGCCAGTTGTGGTGGTTCATGCCTGTAATCCCAGCACTTTGGGAGGCCGAGGTGGGTGGATCACCTGAGTTCAGGAGTTTGAGACCAGCCTGGCCAACATGGCGAAACCTCATCTCTAGTAGAAATAATAATAATAACAAAATTAGCTTGACATGGTGGTGTATGCCTGTAATCCCAGCTACTCCAGAGGCTGAGGCATGAGAATCACTTGAACTCAGGAGACGGAGGTTGCAGTGAGCCAAGACTGCGCCACTGCACTCCAGCCTGGGCAATAGAGCAAGACTCTGTTTCAAAAAAAAAAAAAAAAAAAGACAAAATTGAGAACAAAATCTGGCCATATTTTATTATGTTAGTTTGTGGCATACAACAAATTAATATAAAAATTGAAATATTGGCTGATAACATCAGATTTCTATGAATTTTATATACTTTTTGGAACACACATTAATAACATATTTATCCAATTCATAGAACTATAACTCAAAGAAGGCTAACATTACTTATTTAACAATGCCTCCCACATAATTTAACATATTAAATAAGCATAATTGGCTTACTATGTCTCTTTCAGACATTCCTGGGACCTTTCTGGATTATCCCAAAGTGAATTCAAAGTCAAGAGATATAAATCCAACTTTGATTTTGGGAAGTTTATGAAAAAGATCAAAAGTTTTAAACTTTTTATCAAAATAGGATTACAGATAACTGTAAAATAATATTCATTTAATCAGATTGATAATTAAATGACTTCAAAAGGCAAATATAGAAAGTAATATAGTTTTAGAAAAGTATTTAGCTCTGTGATAGAATACTCAGTTTTCTTAAGCAATCAAAGATCTCCTAAAAATAATATGAAGCACAGGGCACCATTTTAATAAAACACGGAATCTTTGTTTCTTAGGCCAGTTACCTCAAAGGTAAAGAAAAACATTTTACTATTAGAATACCACTTGGAGGTGCCAAGATGGCTGACTAGAAGAAGCTAGTGTGCTGCCACTCTCACAGAGAGGAGACAGAGTGGTGAGTAAACAATAGTTATTTAAATGGTTCATCCAGGAGGACACATTGTGGTTCACCAAGGAAGCAACGTGACCCATAGAGAACAGAGAGGAGTGAGGCAAGACAGCTGAGCTCCTGGGATTGGTGCAGAGCCAACGGAGGCTCCTCATGGTGGGGAAAGGGTGAGAGAGTGAGAGCCCTTGGGGACTCACACTGCTGCCATGGACATTTGCAATCCTGGGCACAGGAGACGCCCCCTGACTCCCAGCCGTGGAGCCTCCAGACTGACACGGAGAACTGCATGGAGTCTGGGCAGAGCCACCACTCAGACCTACATAGACCCAAAAGTGCCTTGGATATCTGAGCACCTTGCCGCTAGCTGCTATATCTCCACCAAGGGAGGCCAGTCTCTCTCCTGCACTCCCAGGATACAGGCCAAATCCATGGAGCTGAGGAGCAGATGGATTGCAGGCCTTGCCTCTAGAGTACCTCACCAGGCAAACCCCATTGGCCTGGGATCCCAGTGCAGCCAATCCACCCTCACCTGAGTACTCAGGCTGGTAACGGTTCTGTCTTTCTCTGGTTTAGACCTCCCACAGGTAACCAACAGCCCTGCAGCTTTTGCCACGGCTGAAGCCCCTGCCCCCACTTCCTTTAGGCTAGGGAGGAAGTGAAGAGCCCCAGAACAGTCATGGGCCTCTAGCACACCACAGCTGTTGTATGGAAAAGCAGCCAGACTGTCTTCCTTGTGGGTCCCTGTCTCTGCTACTCCTCACTGGGCAGGGCCTCCTGACCTGGGCCCCCAGCACATCCACCCTGCCCCCACCTGATTACTTCAGTCAGTGGAGGCTCTGTGTTTCTCTGGGATGGAATTCCCAGAAACACCTGACAGGCTCTCTACCATTGCTGCTGCAGCAGTACCAACCCTTGCTACCCTCAGGCGGGGGAACAAAGACCCTGATCACTTGCACCTCAAGCACACTTCAGCTGCTAGACAGAGAAGATCCCAGTCTCTCCTCTCTGTGAGCCCCCAACCCCCTGCTCTTTACCACTTAGGTCTCCTGACTTGGGCCTGCAGCATAGCTGCTTCACCCTTGGCTGAACATTCCCATTGGCAGTGGCTCTGTGTCTCTCTGGGGTGGAAGTCCCATAGGCAATTGACAGCCCGTATGCCATTGCCATTGTGATGGTATTGCTCTTGCTGCCCTTGGACTGGGGAACAGACAAGGACCTTGGTCAGTTTGCATACCTCCAGCATATCACAGCTACCCTAAGGAGAAGAGGCTAGTTTCTCTTCCCTGTGCACCCCTGACTTCCTGCTTTTCACCAGGCAGGACCCCTAGCTTGGGCCCATAGTGCAGTCACCCTATCCCTAGGTGAACATTCTCATTGGCAGTGGCCCTGTGTTTCTCTGGGATGGAATTCCCAGAAATAACTGACAGCCCCTTTGCCGCCACTACCACTGCCGTGGTACCCTCCCTTGCTGCTCTTGGGCTGGGGAATGAACAAAATCCCTGATCATTTTGCTCACATTAAAAGCATGCTGTGGGTGCCCTATTGAGGGAAGGCCATTCTCTCTTTCCTATGAGCCCGTTGTTCTTCACCAAGCAGGGCCCTGGTAGGGCCTGCAGCACAGCTGCCCCACTCCAGGCTGAACCTCCCCATTGGTAGCAGCTTTGTGTCACTCTGGAGTGGAGTTTCCAGAGGCAACTGACAGTCCATATGCCACTGCCACTGCACCAGTACTTGCCCTTGCTGCTATGGGCCTGAGGAAGCAACAAATAGCCTCAGTTCTTTACTTGCATCTCCAGCATGCCACAGTCACCCTATGGGGAAGAGGCCAGATTGCCTGACACCCTCTGCTCTGCACCAGGCAGGGTCCCCGTGGCATGTACTAGCAATGCACTCACTCTACCCCCAGCTGATCATTCTGATTGGCAGTGGCTGCATTTCTCTGAAGTGGAACTCCAAGAAACAAATGAAAGACCCACTGCCGTTGCCACTGCCAAGTCCCTTCTCCTGTTGCACCCAAGCTGCAGAGGGAAAACAAACAAACAAACAAAAAAAAAAAACCAAAGCTTGCCCCGGGGCTGTGTTGTGCAGCCCAGGAGTGCCAAGCTGGGATCTGCAGCCAGCACTCAAGTTGGAGAGGACACATTCTCAGAGCACTGAGAGAGAGACCATAGCTGCAAACACAAGGAAATACAGAGGAGCCACCCAGCTGAATAAGAACCTACCTACCAGCCATTACACTTAAGTGCCATCTACTGTATCACATCCCAAACTTCATCACCAAATACTTTGCTAGTATACTGTCCTATGGAACCAAGGACAATAATTCAGCCATAAATAAGAACCCTGCTCATAGCCTTGGTCCTCTGAAAAATTTAGAAATAAAGCCAACTGACTATACTCAAATTACATCACAGTTAAAAGAAGAACAGCCTGCCCATATGAGGAAAAAAAAGAAAAAGAAAAAACAGCACAAGAACTCTGGCAACTCTAAAAGCCAGAATGTATTCTTACATTCCAATGACTGAACCAGCTCCCCAGCAATAGTTCCTAACCAGAATAAAATGGCTGAAATGACAGGCATAGAATTAAGAATTTGGATGTCAACAAAGATCATTGAGATTCAAGAGAAAGTTAAAACCCAATCCAAGGAACCTAAGGAATTCAGTAAAAAGTATCAAGAGATGAAAGACAAAATAGCCATTTTAAGAAAGAACAAAACTGATTTGATCGAGCTGAAAAACTCACTACAAGAATTTCATAATACAATTATAAGCATTAACAGCAGAATAGATCAAGTTGAGGAAAGAATTTCCGAGCTTGAAGAGCAGTTCTTTGAATCAACTGAGTCAAGCAAAAATAAAAAAAAAGAATTTTAACAAATAAAACCTTCCTGAAATACGGGATTATGTAGAGTAACCAAAGTTATGACTCTTTGGCATCCCTGAAAGAGAGGGAGAAAGAGAAAGCAAATTAGAAAACATATTTAAGGATACTGTCTACAAAAGCTTTCTCAACTTCGCAAGAAAGGCCAACATTCAAATTCAGGAAATTCAGAGAACCCCTGCAAGACATGATACAAGACAACCATCCCCAAGACACACATTCATCAGATTCTTCAAGGTTAAAACAAAAGAAAAATTATTAAAGGCAGCTAGAGAGAAGGGACAGGTCACCTACAAAGGGAACCCCATCAGGCTAACATTGGACCTTTCAGCAGAAAGCCTACAATCCAGATGAGATTAGAGGCCTATATTCAGCATCCAAAAAGAAAAAAAAATGCTAACCAAACTATGTTTTATAAGTGAAGGAGAAAAAAAGATCCTTTTTAGACAAGCAAATGCTAACAGAATCCATTACCACCAGAACTTCCTTACAAGAAATCCTGAAAGGAGTGCTAAACATGAAAACAAAAGATCATTACCTTCCACCACAAAAATGAAATTAAGTATATAGGCCACAGGTACTAAAAAACATCTATACAATGAATTCTACTAACAAACAGCTAGTAACATGGTGACAGAATCAAATCTGTATGTATCAATATTAATCTTGAATGTAAACAGGCTAAATGACCAACTTAAAAGGCATGGAGTGGCAATAGTAGAAAGAAGGAAAACTCAACTGTATACTGTTTTTAAAAGCACCATTTAACATGCAAGGACACTCATAGGCTCAAAATAAAGGAATGGAGAAAGACTTATCAAGCAAAAGAAAAACAAAAAAGGCCAGGGGTTGACAGAATTCAAACCAGTAATGATCAAAAAAGACAAAGAAGGGCATTACATAATGATAAACGATTCAATTCAACAAGAAGATTTAATTATCCTAAATATATATGCATCCAACACTAAAACATCCAGATTCATGAAACAAGTTCTTAGAGACTTATGAAGAGACTTAGATAAACACACAATAATAGTGGAAGACTGCAACACCCCACTGAAAATATTAGACAGACCATCGAGGTGGAATATGAACAAAGATATTCAGGACTTGAACTCAACATTTGATCAAATGCACTAACAGACGTCCACAGAATACCTCATTAGAGAATGTACATTCTTTTCATCTGCACATATCACACACTTTAAAACTGACCACATGCTTGACCACAAATAAATTCTCAACAAATAAAAAAAAAAACTGCACACTTGAATCACAGCGCAATAAAAATAGAAATGAATATCACGGAGATCTCCTAAAACCATACAATTGAGACTCCGTCTCAAAAAAAAAAAAAAAAAAAACATACAATTATATGGAAATTAAGCAACCTGCTCCCGAATGACTTTTGGGTAAAGAATAAAATTAAGGCTGAAATGAAAAAATTCCTTGAAACTAATGAAAACAAATGTTCAACATACTAGAATCTCTGGGACACCACTAACACAGTGTAAAGAGGAGGGTTTATATTACCGAACACCGACATCAAAAAAGTTAGGAAGATCTCATATTAACAACCTTATGTCACAACTAGAGGAAAAAGAAAAACGAGAGCAAACCAACCCCAAAGCTAGCAGAAGAAAATAAATAATCAAAATGAGTTGAACTGAGCAAAATGTAGATGAGAAAAGCCATACAAAGGGGCAATGAACCAAAAGTTGTTCTGTAAAAGAAAAAATAAGTCTGATATAACACAAGCTAGACTACTAAAGAAAAAAAAAAAGAAAAATAAACAAAATCAGAAATTATACAGGGGACATTCTGTGATCTCACAGAAATACAAACAAACAAAAAACCTCATAGACTAATGTGAACACCTGTATGCATACAAGTTAAAAAAAACTAGAGGAAATGGTAAATTCCTGGAAACATGCAGTCACTCAAGATCGAACCAGTAAGAAACTGAAAGCTTCAACAGGCTAATAACAAGTTCTGAAATGGAATCATTAATAAAATAATCTACTCACCAGAACAGATTTATAGCCAAATTCTACCAGATGTGTAATGAAATGTTGGTACCAATTCTATTGAAACTATTCCAACAAATCAAGGAGATGAGACTCCTCCTTAACTCATGCTATGAGGTCAACATCATTCTGATACCAAAACCTGGCAGAGACACAATAAAAAAAAAAGAAAATTTCAGGCCAATATTCCTTAAGAAAATAGATACAAAAATCCTCAACAAAATAATAGCAAACCAAATCCAGCAGTGCATCAAAAAGCTAATCCACTACAACCAAGTAGGCTACATTCCTGGGATGTGAGTCTGGTTCAACATTCACAAATAAATAAATGTAATTCATCACATATACAGCACTAAAAGCAAAAACCATATGATCTTCTCAATAAATGGAGAAAGGACGTTCAATAAAATTCAACATCCCTTTATTCTAAAAACTCTCAACAAACTAGGAATGGAAGAAACATATCTCAAAATAGCAAGGGTCATGTATGACAGACCCACAGCAAACATCATACTGAATGGGCAAAAGCTGAAAGCATTCCCCTTGAAAATCTGAACAAGACAAGGATGCCCACTCTCACCACTCCTATTCAATATAGTATTGAAAGACCTAGCCAGAGCAATCCAGCAAGAGAAAGAAATAAAAGGCATCCAAGGGCCAGGCACGGTAGCTCACACCTGTAATCCCAACACTTTAGGAGGCTGAAGTAGGTGTATCACCTGAGGTCAGGAGTTCGAGATCAGCCTGGCCAACATGGTGAAACTCCATTTTTATGAAAAATATAAAAATTAGCTAGGTGTGGTGGCAGATGCCTGTAATCCCAGATACTTGGGAGGCTGAGGCAGGAGAATCGTTTGAACCCGGGAGGTGGAGGTTGCAGTCAGTGAGCCAAGATCGCACCATTGCACTCACTCCAGCCTGAGCAACAAGAGCAAAACTCCATTAAAAAAAAAAAATCCAAATAGAAAGAGGGGAAGTCAAACTATCTCTTTTTGCAGATGATGTGATTCTATACCCAGAAAAAGAAATGTGTATGTAAGATGCCTAGTTAAGACAAAATGGTCAAAAGTGGGGCTTGTTTAGACCAATGTTCTCTATTATTATAAGAATTTCTAGTGGTTTTCCTTTATAGGTGTAAATTTTTTGAAGAGTTTCAAAAGAGCCAGATAAATGCCAGGAAAGGGTATTTTGAAAACTGATTTGGTTCAATATTTTCAATTTAGCTTGTGTCTTAACTGCATTACTGACTTTAAGATGCAGCTCATTAACTAATGGGGCAAAAGAAGCATTTTAAATACTGAAACTCAGTGTGGATATTTCTATAAAAGAAGACACAAACTTGCTTTACCTGAGGGCCAAACTGTTATGAATACTTCATGTAGCTTTCCTTTCACCTTTGGGGTGGAATAGTACCTAAGTGAAAAGGTTAGTAGATTCCATTTTTCTTATCAATTAGTTGCTTAAGCTTTTCATCTGTTTCTTGTAAAGAGTCTTTTAAAAAGAGAAAATAACAGTTTTTTGAAAAATTTTTAGAAGTTTCTGCACATGAATAGGCATCCCTGGATGGGCCTGATCTGGGAGCCCTCATTTTTAGATGCATTTTTTAAAGTGTTGAGTTGTTCATCTGGAATTTCCACATAACGGCCATCTTAATTTTAAATTGTCTTTGGTGATATTTCATCATTTTTGTAATTGTTTTCTGCTTCCTGAACCTAATACTTATACATGTAAAAGGCAAGCATAGCTGGAAAATAGATTACTTAATTCTATAGAAATCAAGGATTTTATTTTTACATTGAATCTTTGGTGTCTTCCAGCCAAGATAATACCCCGAGAGGGAAACACCACACGGTTGGGTCATGTAATGCTTTCACAGTAAACCTCATTACAGGAACATTTTCTTTAGGCTGTTGGGTGCTATCAAGCTCTGTGTCTAGTTTATCCTCCCACAGTAGTCTAATTTTTGGTGTTATGTGCTCTAATAGCTTTTAAGTGCCTGAATCTTGCCCACCAGTCAAGTTATGCCTTGTGCCTGAGATCTGCTTGACTAACTTGGCCAATAATTTCCCCCTAGCTTAACATGCAAAAAAACAAAAATAAAGTAACAAAAAAGATATAATTCAAATTGCTGTGAATTTCAAAAGTCATAGTTCACAGACCCTGCAACTTACCACAGCCACAGCAAATTACCTTTAAAACTAAAGCTCTTGCCAGTGACTCATCAGCCACTACAAATCCCAAAATGTCATATGTTCTCTCACAAAACAAACTAACCCTCAGTATACAACCCAAGGTTATGCAATCTCACAACACAAGCTAACCCTCAGGACACACCCCAAGGTCATGTGCTCTCTCACAACAAAAAACTAACACTCAGTATGGTATGCACACCAAGATCATGCATTCTCTCACAGCACAAACTAACACTCAGTATGGTACGCACACCAAGATCATGCATTCTCTCACAGCACAAACTAACCCTGGATTTGAAAATCAAAATTACTGGGGGGCTTACTCCTGAAAGAGAAGAGTTTGACTTCAGAGGAACTTAAAATTTTGAAACAAAAATAAAATCCTAAAGCTCACAACTGACTGAATAGACCTTCTTTTGGCCAAGAAGTCCCGAGAGAAACCTAAAAACTGAGTTCCCAGACATGCCTCTGTATGCCCCTTCCTTATTAATTTTGAATCAGAATTGTTATTTTCTAAGGAGTAAGCAAAAGCTATTTCTAGAAAACAAGAAACTGATGACTCATTCCTTTATCTCCTTTAGCAAGTCATCTGAGGTTGTGACTGGTCGCCCCCTCCCTCTTTGCAGTTATGATGTGACATTTCACTTGCTTCACAATCCATCTCTTTGTAAAAACTGACTACCATCTCTGGACTGGTTTCGGCTGACTGGTAAGCATGCCCAGTGAGGGTTTCTTGTCCTCTCTTCACCTTTTGATATCAGAAGGCTGAAAACTCCACCCTTGGATCATGCTAATGACATCATTTTTTGAACATGTGACCTACAATGAGGCATGAAGCTCAATTGCACATACACATTTCTCCTTTCGTAAATATTCATGGCTCCTCCTATAGCTTATTGAATATGCATACTTAGCCAAAGCATGTAGCATAAATTCCTGTCTTATCTTTCCCTCTCTCAAAGTGCTTGCACTCAGCTTCTGACAGGAGGCTACCCTTCCCAGCCCTCCAGGGAGCAGGTTACAAGATGTCCAGCCTGCAGGCTGCAACCCTTTAAAAGAAATAAAGCTGTTCTTTCCAAATTTAGACACCTCATGATGCTTCAGTTGACACAACCCTCACGGCTTCATGAGGAAGACAGGGGATCTCAGAAAGGGGTCAGAGGCACCTCTCCTCCATTCCTCAAGGAGTCTTTGGGGTTGTCAGAAGTGTCCCTTAGGTTTCTTTGTCAATCTCCAAAACTGCCAAAAGACAAAATTACAACACATTTAGTTTAAAGAACTTAATTGAGTTCTATTTGCAATTCTAGAATTGGGCAATACCTTATTCTATAAAATATACCTTATTCTATAAAACAGAATGAGTGCCCTAATAAGCGATGCAAAGAAATTTGGCTTTATAGACAGAAAGGGATAGGGAAAGCAGAAACATATAACAAAAAACAAATAGGTTGTTTCAAAATTGCTTTGCCTATAAAAGTTAAGGTACAATGGACTCTCTTATATGCCAGTAAAAACTGGCCTTTCTGGGGATTTGGCTATTTTTCTCTCCTGATTTCTTAGATCAGATAAACAGTTTTGGCTTGGTGGTGTGGAATGTCAGAATGAGCAGCTCCATTTTGGTTTGCTCTGTTGGACCTGGTGCAGAAAGCTCAGTCCAAATCATTGGTCTCCTATAAATTATATTTAACAGAATGCAAAAAAATAAATTATATTTAACAGAATGCTCTTAAATTAGCATTGGTTCATTGGGGCATTCCCTTTGGTGTTAGTAACGTTGCTATATTATTGAGTGTTTTGTCCATTAATAGCCACTTTATATTTTAATTGCATTATATGAAATGGTAATAAGAAGGGATTCAGAAGAAATTGTGACCTTTTGAGAAATTCTTGGCTGTTTAAAACATTAGCTGTGGTTCTCAGAGCAAATGTGTACAAAAGATTATCCATCAGCTATGATACACCAATGAAGGAAGTGATGAATTGTGATTTTAAATGATGCTCTAGGATTACTAAATATGTATTTACCAGAAGTGGAGATAATCACTTATCTTTAATTCTTCAGTATTTAAATTAAATTTCCCATATTCTTCCATATTTTTCTTATTTTGTTGTCTGCCTTTATATAGATGCTAGCAATTGTTTTCTTATTCATCCATCCACTCATTCCTTCATGTATTTTGGTTTTTAAAGATGTGCCCTAAACACCAGAAAAGGAGAGCAGTTTAATAGAGAAAAGCCACCCATTTTATCACTTGTCGGCCTTTTGGCTAAGATCAAGTGTGAGAAAAGCCACCCATTTTATAGAAAATGGTAGTTGACTGCAACTACTAATAGTATTTATCAGCATTTTAGCTCAGCTCACCGAGTGATGACTGTTTGAACATGGCCTTTTTTATCCTCTCTACCCACCTCCCTCTACTATTTCTATGTCATATAGAAAAAAAGAATGAAAAAGGACATGTTCTGTATGAAACACATGAACATGTTCTTCCTCATTCTTTTTCAGTTTTTCTGCTAAAAGAATATAGAAACAGAATGCCTTTCTTTCTTAATGAAGAATCATTTCCATCATGAAGTTTTAATGGAGGGGGACAGAATAAGTTTTTAACACACAGATACACACACACACACACATACACACACACAGACACACAGACACAATCTAAGGAGTATTCTCTATGTCCTGGGAACTATCAACTATGTACTCTCCTTGACTCTCCTGGACATCAGTTTTAATGAAGTTGCCACTCTTAGAATGCTGCAGAGATCACTGTAGGGGTATGACCTTTATTTAAGTAAAGGTTTCAGTCTATGGCCCTTCTGTGATCTGCCGTCATTCTTGGTCATCCTGACATTTTCCCAAAGGCCAAGGATCTCAGTTGCTGATTTTTACACCTGAGGATCATTTGTCTTTTGCTGTCATTTTCTAGCTACTGATGTCAATGTTAACACTGCTACAAATAGACATTGCCTCAAGAAAACACACAAATCATTTCTGGTTAAAAGGAGACTATATGTTTGCTAAAACTGCCTCTGCATCACTTGTCTATAAGAATTGCTGACGGGATTATTTCTTCTTTGTGCCCTTGGGAAAATAACTCTTCTACATCCTGAATGTCCTTTGAAGTCAGTAGTAAGCATAAATAGAGTGCTAAAAGAAATAACATTCTAATCTTTTATAATGCACTTGATAGTATATTATGATACAGCTCTGTAAAAAAAATTTATAGAACAGTGAATGGCATAAGAAGCATGGTGAAACACTGAATGAGAAGTAGATTAAGCATCTCTCAGGCTTCCGTCTTTTAAAAACATATAAAGTAACATTTTTGTAGTAGGTTGCACCATAATTAAGAATTTTTTTAAATGTGATTTTCATTGGATTTATGCCTCCTTAATAAATGAGTCAACGAGATTTTTTAATTCAGTTTTCTTTAAAGAGTATTTCCATCTCTAAACATAACATAACTTCTTTTTTAAACTAAAAATGCTTTAAAAGTTGTACCTCCTCCTTCTTATTCCATTATTTCTTATCCCAATATATTGGAAAGGAGCTTATTGTAAAGGAAAGCAGTTCTGTTCCACTATGTCTAGGATTGGTGGGTATATTTGTAGATCTAGGAAAAAATAATAGAAAAAGAGAAATTTAAAATAAAGTTAAAAGAAAAACAAGCGATGAAGGAAGACTCACATCAAATTGGGAGAACACTCATAGCCAGAAAGGTCAGTCTTACTAAGTAGAAACACTTGATATTGGGTGACAATATAAAATAAAAGGGGCAAGAGAGAATGGAAGAGACCATAGGCAAGGAAAGAAAAAAACATAGCCAAAAAGTAAATATGATTTTTCTTTAATTTTTCAATAAATTAGAAATGAAATCTACTGCAGTTGAGGTAGTCTATGGTGTTAAGGTTGTGGATTTGAGATTATTAATTTTTATGAAACTGTGTAATGAAGTTCATGTGAATAAAATTATAACTGAAAAAGGGATATCTTACAATTTATTCAATTGTGAAGTTTTACTGGAGACAGAAAGCAGGGCTGTATACTTTGCACTAGAGCTCATGCAACTTTGCAAATAGGAATGAAGAAATAAGACAGTGATAGTTACCCAGAGTAAGGACCAAAAGGGGGAGGGAAGAGACTTCAATGATAATATGAAGCAATTATTAATTAGTATATTATAAATATCATATGTTTTTACTAATTTTAATACCCAAGATGTTTCCAAGAGAAGTCCTCATAAAGTTTAATACATTTATATGCCTGCTCTATTTTCTAGAATCACATTAAACGATGGTATGTGAGCATGATTATTGTATTTATAATCAAGTAATAAAATAAATGATTCCTTTAATGATGCTTTGTATTTTTATCTCAAATTTGGTTACTACCTCTACAAAATTTTATATATGCCAATACTTATAATGTTGTTAAATACCATTTTCCTCAAATTATATATACTTCAATGATGGAAATATCTGTATATGAATTTAAAAGTCTTATTTTACCTGTTTGAAGGGACTATCTTTTTTTAAATAATTACATTCTGGATATAATCAATTTTAATGCATTGCTGGACTTAAAAAGAGTAAAAAATGTATATCCACCACATGTACACTGGCCCCTCTAAAGAAAAAGTGAATGAAAAGGAGAAGAGGAAGCAGTAAGCAGAATGCAGACACTAGAGGTATCTTATGATGCATGGTGACACCAGTGTTGCTATTAATGACACAGTTAAACCCAGGGCCATTTGCAAATTGTAGGAAATGAATAAGAGACTCCATTATTAAGCAAAGGATTTTCAAGGTGGCATAAGCAGTCCTAGGTAGTTCGTGTATTCCGGGCACCAGAGAAAAAAAAAAAAAAACATATATAGCACCAATTCAGAAAATAAATTGAAAATCAAGAATACATTTCTAAATATCTCAAAGATAACAGGATAAATTGTAATGCAAATTTTAAAGACACAGAAAAGTAAAACGTAATTTCAACACTACTGCATTTTGTTAAATACGGTGAATTTGGGTAGATAAAAGTAAATTTATAACTTCAGATGCTTAAATTAGAAAATAATTACCTAAGAAAATAAAAGAGCTTAAAATTAATGAGTGTCTAACTCAGAAGTTAAAAACAAGAAAACAACAGATGTAAACTTAGAAGATAATTTTTAAATAAATGAACAAACACAATGGCAAATAAATCCAACACAAAATTAAGAATCAGCAAGTCCACACTTGAAATGTATAATAAAATATCAAACTTTCAGTGAGATTAAAGAGAGAGAGAGAACCTGGAGAGAGAGATGGACACAGAAAGACCAAGACGCAGAGAGAGAACACAGATAAACTGAATTGAGAGTAAACACATATGGTACAGCAGAGATTGTAGAGAAATTACCATGATTGATTTTTATACTAGTGTATGTTAAACTATATGCATGGAAAATTACTAGGAAAATTACTTTCAGAATCTATCCCTAAAAGAAAGAGAAAGCTGCACTGTTAAACTATTAAAGAAATTTAAACAATAGTTTAGTGGGAGTACCAGCTAATCTCTTTTTAAGAACAGAACATTTCAGACATAAAAAAGACATCTTTTGGTGAACAGATAATTGAAAAAAATGCATACCTCCACTTTTTCTATGAGGACAGTCTAGCTTTTACATCAGAATTCACAAGGACAGTATAATCAGGGCAATACTACTAGAAAATTCAGATGAAGCTATGACAATTCATATGGGAATAAGATAAACAAAGATAAAACTCCTGGGCCAAAGTATATTTATCCTAAAAAGTAAGGTGTGTCTATTATTAGAAAATGTGTAACTGCTATTCCCCACAGTAAGAAATTGCTTGTGTGTGTGTGTGTATGTGTGTGTGTGTGTGTATTTCATTTGATGGTAAAAAAAAAAAAGACAAAGTTCAAAGCATAATTTTGGGAAAAATGTTATTCTAGGAATAGATTGAAAGGAATTTGGTAATGGGTTCTACAATAAATCTACAATGAAATATGGTAATAGGTTGGTAAACTAAACTTCGTAATAGGTTCTATGAGAAATCTACAGCGAAATATGTCATTAATGAAGAAAAATTAGTAACATTCCCTTTAAAATTATAAGCATGTTAAATATCACCACTTTCATTTCATCATCTTGACCCATGGATAATAAAGAAATAAAGGAGGAAAAAGGCAATTAAAGGCAAAAAGATTGAAAGAAAAAATAAGTGTCTTTATTTTAAAATGACTTAAATTCCCATGTAGAAAATTCTCAGAAAGTCCTCATATACATTGTTAGAAATACTCAAAATTCAGGAACTTGTCTGTATTCAAGTTCAATAGGCAAATATCTATTTTCTCTCTGTATAACATCAAAAGCAGAAAATATAAGTTAAAAATAAGTCAATTTTGTATAGCCATAATGACCATTAGGTACTAGAAAGAAATGTGAGAAAATATAGTCAGGATGGTTACAAAAAACTATGAATTTTCTTGAAAAATTAGCAGCAAGATATCTCAGCTATATTTGTACAAAATACAATATTACAAGATATAAATTCTGCCAAATAAATAATGCATACATCTAATACATATAATACAATTTAAATTAAAGTAAAAAGCATTTTATCTAGTATTTGATAAGGTGACATTAACATTTATATTGAAAAGTAATTAAACCACCAAGAGTAGGAAAATCCATTTAAAAAAGAAGAGTAACTTCTTCTATGATACAATTAATACTTAATCATAAGTGTGCCAAGGTTGGTGTGGGGAATGGTTTTCCTTGGTTGCAGGCAATAAAGTATGCATTATCTGTAAAGGATTTAAATTAACAGTTAAACCAAGTAAATGAACTTTTGTTCTTAAATTACCAACATGATTGGCAATTCTAAACTGTATCAGAGATAAAATTCTCCTCCATGTTGAGGTCAATCTCTCCCAAAACCTCTTCCTTAGTATTTTACTGCTTAATCATAATGTCAGAATATGTAAGTCAGTACAGTATTGGGGCAGACAAAAAAATTAAACTGATTGGTAAAACAGAGCTCTCAGATATAGATAGAGCCATTCTCACATTGATACATGAAAGTGGTAGCATTACAGGGCAGTGCATGGATCCACTTGTGTCGGAAGAAAATAAATGAAACCATCAACATTTTAATTGAGAAGAGTTTAACGAAAGGAATATTTCCAGAGTTGCCAGCAGGGCCAAGGAAACAAAAAAATTGATTATCAAGCTTTCAAAGACCACCATCAGACCTGAAAGACAAGAAGAGGGAGAATGTTACCTGAACCTCTTGTAGCCACGGTGGAAGACAGCCTTTCAGGAGCTGTAGCCTTTAAGAGAGAGAGAGAAAAAAAAAAAAACCCTCAACCCAAATGACAGAGAAAAAGGCAAGGGAGAGAGACCAACACCTCTACTTCTCTCTCTTCTCACTTTGATGCCCAGCCTGCAGTTACCATTCTTCAAATTAAACCAGAAGCCAAGGGGCAAATTTGCTTAGGCAGTGCACTTCTTAGAGGTGAGCATTCCAGGACATAGAGCAGAGAATCGCTGAGGAATGATTTGATAAAAGGAGAACCAGCATACACACCTTTTTATCACTCAAGCTTCAGTGTTATGATTTGCTTGGATTAGTTGTCAGCAGATATTTTCTATAAAACAGTCAATATTTTTGATGGGCATAAAAGTCTGTGTTATAACTACACAATTGTGTTGTTGAACAAAAGCAGCCATTCATTCATATTCACACCTGAAGCCTCAGTTGCAACATTATCTAACACTACTGCTCACTGTAAAAGGAGTAAACAAACAGGGAAAAAAGTAATTATTAAAAATAATAGTCATGAAGCCTAATTAGTAATTATAGTTTTATACCACTCTATGGCAGCATTTCTTATTATTGTCTTCAGCCTAAGGTCAAAAAACATGACAAAGATTTTTAATACATTTCAACTATGCTGGCCTTCTTCTCATTAGCATATTTCATAATGCCTTAATACAGGGGTGTCCAGGAACACTTCTACATGGTATTATTTAGAAGATACCTGACAGGTATAGAGGACCTACACCAACATTTATGATTCTTGATTATTAGGATTCCTTCCTCTACAAGATGATCAGGAAGTTCACTGACATAAGGACATTGCTTCTCAAATTTTAATATACAGACAACTATCTTGGATATTTATTACTGGCTAGGAAAGCAGTAAAACTTTATTTAATATTAATTATCTAAAAACAAGACAAACATGAGTTGGAAGACAGACTAATTCGGTAGCTGTAGGGTGAAACCTTAAATTCTGTGTTGCTAAAGCTCCCAAATAATGCTCCCAGTTGATTCTCTGACCACTCTTGGAGTCAAAAAGCTGTAGATTACTATTAAGTTCAGGCTTGAATTAGCCAGTCTGGCAGACTCTCAACACCACTCCCAATACATTGCATCCCTAATCTCTAGGGGAGTGAACCCATATCATTAGATTTGTCTGATCCAAACTTATACGTATTCACTTATTCAGCGTTTAATTCTTTTCTGTTCTGCCACTTAAGGGCATTTAAGGTTCTACAAAACCTTCTTGATTCTTTCCTTGAGCCTGTATTTGGAAATGCAAAGCTTGTTCATTGTATTTCTCCAGGTATGTACTTAAAGGCAGCCAGAAGCAGACAGCAAGTCTGCCCCAAAGTCTTCGTAGTCATCAGTTGTGACCAATCATCAAAGTTACTAAGTGCCATAACCATTTAATCTTTCAAAGCTTTACTTTCTACCTGTATACCACCCATAGGACAAACCATAATAATGTGAATTTGATTTCACTGTATACTACATTTCACCAACATCACATATGTTGCCAAAAAGGAGGTTAACCTAGAACTCATCAAATATCCAAACTGCCAACTCTCAAAGTTTCATATTCTACTTGGGAAAATTTCCCTTAATACTATGCTTCATGGCTACCTCAAAGTTGGACTGTAATGTAACCTGAGTTCACCTGTATTGAGCCAAACCATTTGAATTCACTGTTAACCCAGGTGTTATAAAATTAACCACCATATGATACCAGTCATCTGCTGAATATCAAAAACCTATAATTACTCTAATTTGGGTAATCTCTCCTAAATACAGAAAAGATATACAAGACAGAAAAATTACTTGTCATAAGAATGTCAAAGATTTATATCAAGCAAAAATAGATAATAAACATGATGCTTAAAACTATGCAATAAATTATCATTTTAATCCTACCAGATTAATGTTAAAGTGATGGATAAGAATTTACATATTATTACACGTGAACTACAAGAATGAATAAATATTTGCATATATTAATATGCAAATAATGTACATAAAATTAACTTTGGATTTTGGAAATATGGATGCAATTTTATTTCCTTTCCTATTGTTCATTATTAGTCTGAAGATAAAATAATTTACAAGTTGCTTTGAGTATCCTGGTTAAATTTAATTGGTTCTCTTTTGATTAACCTTTGCCTAAAATTTCTTCTTTCCTCAGAGTTTCTAAGGTTATGGAATTGCCAATGGGTTCTTTCTAATCTTGCAAAAGTCTTAAATCAGGAAATACTGTTTCCTAAGTCTATACAAGTTCCAATTCATCTTAATAATCCATGAAGCTGCAAATGCAGCAGATAATTATGTTCCTCTCAAGATAACAAAGCCCATAGGTCATTCTGTTTAGGTAGAAATTGAAACAACTGTACTGCAGTATTGGAAGCCAAAACAATTAGTGGAATAATTCTGCACCATCCGCATTATTTCTTGTCTTCCAACTCATGTTTGTCTTGTTTTTGGATAATTAATATTAAAATAAATACACTTTACTGCTTTCCTAGCCAGTAATGAATTTTTACCATGATAGGCTAAGCAGGGCATTTTGGAGAAATTCAAGCATTGTTGCATTTACAATTATCTGCCTTGATAGAATCAAATAGTGCAAAGCTTGATGAATAGTTAATACAATTATCTTGTTGCTAAAGCTGACGCTTCCAAATAGCAATAAAGTCATCTGACGTTGGAGGCATACTTTAGCTTTTGTTCCAAGGACAAATAACAGTGCAGGCAATGAGGGTAAAAAGAAGAACTTTATTCCATGAAAACACAAAAACAATGAATGCTGAATCTATCAGAAGTGAGAAATTAGGGAAAAATATAACTGATGTCTTCTGATGAATGGCAATTTACTTTTGCTATGCTTTGTTATTAGCACCATATTGTTGAAAACAAAATAATTTTACTTTTAAAGATGTATTAATATCTTCCAACAAGAAAAAAAAGGTTTAGAGTGAAATATTAACTCATGCATATTTCTTAGCATTTTATTAGAATAGATTTTTTCCTTCAGTCTATATTAATGAAGAAAAACATTAATTAATGTGAGCATAAAAACTAAAGTTTTAAAATTCTTAATAAGCTAGATACCCAAGGTTACCTCACAGCAAATAATGAGCCTCAAAACCATGAGCTTTCTTCCTCTCTCCACACCCACCCTCAGCTTCCCATCCGTAGAGGATAGTAGCTTGAGCTTCTGAGGGGAGAGAAAAATTATCCCTTTTCTCCCTGCTTTTACTATATTTCAGCCAGTAGTCATCCGTATTTTGAGCTTATCAGTAATAAACAATATCCAAACTCTTGCTTAAATTCATTTAATATTGTGGAAACTGACTGCTCTGACTACCAGTTTAGAATGAATTGTTCTTTATCTATGTTTTCATAGACGAAAGTGCTGAAGCAGCCACCTTAGATTGTAATGAAATGGAATCTTTGCTGTTTACACTCTCAAGAATGTGCCTATTTGGAAATCTGAAACATCTAATACTGCAAAGGCTGGAGTTGAATAAATAGCACTAAATCCTCAAGTAGATCATTGGGAATGACAAGTGGAGCAACTCCAGCTTCCAAACTTTGAATCATGGACTCATATATTCAATTCTGTTTGGGACACAGCATTATAGCATTATATAAATGTCTTTAGTTTGTGTACTGAAACCTGTAGAACATCAATCCATCTTCGCAGAATATTGTTTCAGTTCTTAGTGTTTCAGTTGTACCTGGAGAAGGCAATCTCAGTACTCTATCAAAGCAGCTATTTCTGTTTAATGCAAAACATAATATGAGCAATGTATCCTATGGTTATATGATATGGCCAATGGATCCTATAATTATGGGCCCACTCCCTCACTTCCTTCACAGTCCATTAGATCCTTGTTTGGATTCTATGGTGTGTGGAATTCCATGCATGAAAATCAGGCATTCAGTAAACCTTCAGATAATATTTCCGGTTGAGGCTTCGTGGGCAAGAAAGACAAACTCACATCTGGGATAAATGTTCATTCCTGTGCAAAAACTATTTACACTTTAAGGACCTAGTGAGCACAGTCAGTGATACAGTCAGTCAACTTGCCATGAAATGCCCAGTTGCTTTCCATAAGTAATAATATCATACAGATATCTTAGAATTGGTGTCTGTTGCAGACTAGTTTACACTCAGGTGTGTCACTAGATAGACTGCTCTTAATAACTGTTTCATCAAGCTATTAAGTCTGATTATAACTTCCATCTCAGCCATCATGAAAATGTAATGTGTGTGTCCATAATGTCATTAGTGTTCACCCCGAACAAAGGTCAAGGATTTTTTTTCTATTATCTAGTGGTTATTTTAGGGTGGATGCTTTCTGGTGAGTGTTAACATGATGAAAAGAATGTCACACTTTATGCCCACTGCCATGTGTTCATTCACATGCTTTCTCCCCCAAATTGTCTAGTTTAAGCTTGACCAGATGTATAGCCTCTAATTTACCATGGAATGGTGCCAGGCGCAATCTGATTTATGTTTTGATGAATCCAATAAGATGTCATTAATAGTGGACACTTACAAAGTCATGTTCACTTGATGCTTCATGGTCAGATGTTCAATTGGAACAGAGCCCAGTAGCATACCAAGAGTTTTTCTTAACGAGTGTGTAAGGACTAAATAGTAAGGAATGACTTCTGAAATCCAGGGGCCTATACTATGATTCTCCTATTAAGACTTGCTGTCAACTCCACTTGGCATCAGTTTCTACCCTCGACACCTCTATCAAAATAGACATTCTGGTTCTTATGGCCCATGTAGCAAGGCTTGGGATATTAAGCCTGATACAGCATCCTTTTCTTCTTCAGACCTCACTCAATAGGGGAAGATTTTGTGTTACCCAATATATTTACAAGAGCAGTATTTATAGTAGGTAGTATCATGCATTGCCTCTAGTATCTGAAGAGACCCAAAGGCTGCTGTGTTTTCTTACTTGTAGTAGAGGATGCAAAAGTATGCAAGTTATCTTTCACTTTGAAGGGGGTGTCCTGGGTTTCCCTACCATTAGACCATTAAAATGTTTAATGAAATGGATAATCCTTGAATCTTTGTAGGGTTTGTTTCCAACTCTCTGGAATATATTCATCATACCAAGGGTTCCAACATATAAGACACCTCTTATCATACTTAATGAGCATGCTGTTATTGATGCAATAAATCAATTTGATATATTTTGGAAGTTCAGATGGCCTAGAAATCTTTGAACTATGTCAACAAAGAGTTTGCTAACTTAACAGCCCTGAGGTCAAACTGCAAATGTGTATTTTTGTCCATTTTATATAAACGTAAACCTTTTAATATCCATTTTTCTGGTTATGATAGAAAAGTATATATTAACTAAAACAATCATTGTATATGCTATATTCTAGAATATGCATTAATCTTCTCTAGCAACAATCATAACTCGCATGAAAGATACTCTCAGGGCAACTGTTTGGTTGAGATTGTGATAGTCTACAACTGTTCTCTCATTTATCCATTTTCTACAGATATATAATGGTATATTCAAAAGAGATATGACAGGGACCACCACCATTACATCCTTTGGATCTTTAAAGGTGGCACTAACCTCTCCCATCCACCCAAGATGTGATATTAATTTTTTTTTATCCTGTCTTTGTGGGGCAGCAGTCATAGAGACTCCCACTTGCTCTTCTCCACTATGACAGCTTTAATCTTACATATAAATGGTGATCCAACATCAAGCCTTCTCCAAATGCCAAGTATATGAACCTGAATTATACATTCAAGGGCTGAGGAAATTACACCAGTGTAATAATAGGTAGCTGGACTTTGACCAAGATTCTACTTTTTCCTTGGCCTCCATTCTAACACGGAAACCATAATGATGGTTTTGTTCTCAATGTATTAATATGAACTCAGACTCTATTTCCAATAGTCTTCAAAATATCTGAGTATTTCTTTTTTACCAATATATAGTCAGCTATAGGAAAAGAAAGGGGGCTTGTTGCTGTGTATATTTGTTATGACATCATAGGCTTCCTCTTCCTATAGACTCAGTTATCTTTTCAGTCAATGGACAGAACAATGGCTCAGATCTGGGAAAAGTGCAAGTGATTATGACTTTTTACTGAGAAAATGGCTTCAGTTTTATGCTCATCCATTTTAGTTATTTTTTCTGCATATTTATTTTGCTGTTGAAGATGCAAGGTTTTATTAATCATCTTCACAACTCTTTATAGGTTAAACCTCATTGTTTTGCTCTCCAACTTTACTGGCCATTTCGATAACTGTGATCCTTTAGCTTTTGAAATTTGAACATTGCCACTGATGTCAACTGATTCAAAGCCCACCATTTCTGTTGGTATCACCCACCAAAGTTCTAAAACTGCCTCTTCTCCCAGCATCCCTGGTTTGCAGCAGAAAGCTACTGCTGAACATCTTCGTGATGCCAGTGTCCCTCTTATTCACATATTTCTAATAGCTTGGTGACTGGTGACTACTCTGGGTCTTCCTATGAAACAAATATTCCAGTGTGGTGAGGCACTTATCATATAATACATCCACATCAACATCATTGCTTCCCTGATTATTTTAATTGCTACCTGCTCCTGAAATTTCAGGAATTTCGACTTTGCTCAGTAAGGGTCATTGCTTTCTCTAAGCCTCTGGAAGCCAACATAGGACTAAATTTTTATCATCTCCCAGTGTCTTTGCCAGGGTGCCATATCCTGTAAAATGAGGGAATGCCCCAAATTTAATAAACTCTTCCTTAGTATTACAGTCTTACCCCTTGAACAGGCACTGTCAAAATTCAGTAGCAAGAATATTCTCTTGGCTACTGCTGGTAAAGGCTGTATAATTCTCATAGCTCCTTTGCTATCTGATCCTTTTATTCCCTTATAAGGCTTACAGTGTACCATGCTGGGATTTTCTATAAACAAACCCTAGTTATTGACATGAAATCCAGAAAAAGATATGGGGCAGATCTTGAAGAGAACCCCTTTTGCCTTATCAGAAAGAGGTCTGCATTCTTTCAGTGGAGAGGAAATATACTCGTTATGTCAACAGTAAGGTATATATTTAAGTAAATTTTATATAGTTTCTTGTGAAATAACTTCTGCATTAGTAGCAACAAAACTTTTTCAGAGCATTTACATTTAGATGATCCCACATTTACACACTGTCAATAACTTTACAGTAATTATTCTGTTTTTGGCTAAAGCCAAATCATTGTATTTTCTTGTGTTATTTTTAACGTGGATCTATGTAATACTATTTTTAGTAAGCTTATATAGGCAATGTTTTTGTTTAGTTGCTCATTTTAACACTCAAATGAATGCCATAAATAGTTACCTAATAATCATAACTAAATTCCCAGAAGTGTGAACACCAAAATACTAAAGATTTTTTTAATAACACAGATTTAATGCTCTTATGGGTGGACCATCATTAACAATCTTTTTTTATAGTGCTGCTTTCTTTATTTTATTTTTTCCAGCTTTAATAAGATATAATTGACAAATAAAACTTGAACATATTTACCCAGTATAATGTAATGTTTTGATATAGGTACATGTTGTGAAATGATTACCACACAGCAGCTAATTAACCTATCAATCACCTCACATAATTATCTTTTTATTGTGGTGAGAATATTCAAGACACACCTCCTAGACAAATTTCAAGTACAGCAGGTGCTCAAATAACATTGATTCGTTCAACATTGTTTCATTATAATGTAAATGAGAAAAAAAAAAATTACTCTGGCCAGGGCTCCTGCCTGTGTGAAGTTTGCACTTTCTTCCCATGTCTATGTAGGTTTTCTCCAGGTACTCTGATTTCCTTCCATATTCCCAAAATGATCTCATTAGGTTCATCGGTGTGTCTAATTGCCCCCATCTGAGTGTGTGTGTGAATGTGCTTTGTAATGGAATGACCTCCTGTCCAGGGCTAGTTCCTGCCTTGCATCCTGAGCCTCTGCAATAAGCTCCAGCCACCTGTGACCCTGAACTGGAATAACTGGCTAAATAATTATCTTACATGTTTTTATCGATATTTCTATGTGAAATAAATGATATCTCATATTTATTTCAATTCTTAATATTTACATGTTTTGGTCTTTATTTAGAAGTTTGGAGGTGTTTTTGTGACCGGAAATATGCCATAGGAACTTTACTTGTTTAAATCAATTACCCTTTGGTAAAACTGGCTTTGTTATATGTTCTTTCACTTGAAGTTAGTGTTTCCAAGAAAACGTGAACAATATTAAGTGAGGTCTTACTATATACAATGCAGTATTGTTAACTATAGTCACTGTGCTATATATTATGTCCCCCAAACTTACTCATCTTTTTTTTTTAATACTTTAAGTTCTAGGGTACATGTGCACAACGTGCAGGTTTGTATATGTGCACATATGTATACATGTGCCATGTTGGTGTGCTGCACCCATTAACTCGTCATTTACATTAGGTATATATCCTAATGCTATCCCTCCCCACCCCAGGACAGGCCTCAGTATGTGATGTTCCCCTTCCTGTGTCCAAGTGTTCTCATTGTTCAATTCCCACCTATGAGTGAGAACATGTGGTGTTTGGTTTTCTGTCCTTGCAATAATTTGCTCAGAGTGATGGCTTCCAGCTTCATCCATGTCCCTACAAAGGACATGAACTCATCCTTTTTTATGGCTGCATAGTGTTCCATGGTGTATATGTGCCACATTTTCTTAATCCAGTCTATCATTGATGGACATTTGGGTTGGTTCCAAGTCTTTCCTACTGTGAATAGTGCAGCAATAAACATACGTGTGCATGTGTCTTTATAGCAGCATGATTTATAATCCTTTGGGTATATACCCAGTAATGGGATGGCTGGGTCAAAAGGTATTTCTAGTTCTAGATCCTTGAGGAATTGCCACACTGTCTTCCACAATAGTTGAACTAGTTAACAGTTCCACCAACAGTGTAAAAGTGTTCCTATTTCTCCACATCCTCTCCAGCACCTGTTGTTTCCTGGCTTTTTAATGATCGCCATTCTAACTGGTGTGGGATGGTATCTCATTGTGGTTTTGATTTACATTTCTCTGATGGCCAGTGATGATGAGCATTTTTTCATGTGTCTGTTGGCTGCATAAATGTCTTCTTTTGAGAAGTGTCTGTTCATATCCTTCACCCACTTTTTGATGAGGTTGTTTGTTTTCTTCTTGTAAATTTGTTTGAGTTCGTTGTAGATTCTGGATATTAGCCCTTTGTCAGATGAGTAGATTGCAAAAATTTTCTCCTATTCTGTAGGTGGCCTGTTCACTCTGATGGTAGTTTCTTTTGCTGTGCAGAAGCTCTTTAGTTTAATTCAATCCCATTGTTCAATTTTGGCTTTTGTTGCCATTGCTTTTGGTGTTTTGGACATGAAGTCCTTGCCCATGCCTATGTCCTGAATGGTATTGCCTAGGTTTTCTTCTAGGGTTTTAATGGTTTTAGGTCTAACATTTAAGTCTTTAATCCACCTTGAATTAATTTTCATATAAGGCGTAAGGAAGGGATCCAGTTTCAGCTTTCTACATATGGCCAGCCAGTTTTCCCAGCACCATTTATTAAATAGGGAATCCTTTCCCCATTTCTTTTTTTTGTCAGGTTTGTCAAAGATCAGATGGTTGTAGATATGCGGCATTATTTCTGAGGGCTCTGTTCTGTTCCATTGATCTATATCTCTGTTTTGGTACCAGTACCATGCTGTTTTGGTTACTGTAGCCTTGTAGGATAGTTTGAAATCAGGTAGCGTGATGCCTGCAGCTTTGTTTTTTTTGCTTAGGATTGTCTTGGCAATGCAGGCTCTTTTTTGGTTCCATGTGAACTTTAAAGTAGTTTTTTCCAATTCTGTGAAGAAGTCACTGGCAGCTTGATGGGGATGGAATTGAATCTGTAAATTACCTTGGGCAGCATGGCCATTTCCACAATATTGATTCTTCCTATCCATGAGCATGGAATGTTCTTCCTTTTTTTTGTGTCCTCTCTTATTTCATTGAGCAGTGGTTTGTAGTTCTTCTTGAAAAGGTCCTTCACATCCCTTGTAAGATAGATTCCCAGGTATTTTATTCTGTTTGAAACAATTGTGAATGGGAGTTCACTCATGGTTTGGCTCTCTGTTTGTCTGTTATTGGTGTATAAGAATGTTTGTGATTTTTTTGCACATTGATTTTGGATCCTGAGACTTTGCTGAAGTTGCTTATCAGCTTAGGGAGATTTTGGGCTGAGACAGTGGGGTTTTCTAAATATACAATCATGTCATCTGCAAACAGGGACAATTTGACTTCCTCTTTTCCTAAGTGAATATCCTTTATTTCTTTCTCCTGCCTGATTTCCCTGGACAGAACTTCCAACACTGTGTTGAATAGGAGTGGTGAGAGAGAAAGTGCCGGTTTTCAAAGGAAATGCTTTCAGTTTTTGCCTATTCAGTATGATATTGGCTGTGTGTTTGTCATAAGTAGCTCTTATTATTTTGATATACGTCCCATCAACACCAAATTTATTGAGTTTTTGGCATGAAGTCCTGTTGAATTTTTTTCAAAGGCCTTTTCTGCATCTATCGAGATAACCATGTGGTTTTTGTCTTTGGTTCTGTTTATATGCTGGATTACGTATATTGATTTGTGTATGTTGAACCAGCCTTGCATCCCAGGGATGAAGCCCACTTGATCATAGTGGATAAGCTTTTTGATGTGCTGCTGGTTTTGGTTTGCCAGTATTTTATTGAGGATTTTTGCATTGATGTTCATCAGGGATATTGGTCTAAAATTCTCTTTTTTTATTGTGTCTCTGTCAGGCTTTCATATCTGGATGATGTTGGCCTCATAAAATGAGTTAGGGAGGATTCCCTCTTTTTCTATTGATTGGGATAGTTTCAGAAGGAATGGTACCAGCTCCTCCTTGTACCTCTGGTAAATTCGACTGAATCCGTCTGGTCTTGGACTTTTTTTGGTTGTTAGGCTATTAATTACTGCCTCAATTTCAGAGCCTGTTATTGGTCTATTCAGAGATTGAACTTCTTCCTGGTTTAGTCTTGGGAGGGTGTATGTGTCCAGGAATTTATCAGTTTCTTCTAGATTTTCTAGTTTATTTGCATAGAGGTGTTTATAGTATTCTCTGATGGTAGTTTGTATTTCTGTGGAATCAGTGGTGATAGCCCCTTTATCATTTTTTATTGTGTCTATTTGATTCTTCTCTCTTTTCTTCTTTATTAGTCTTGCTAGCAGTCTATCAATTTGTTGATCTTTTCAGAAAACCAGCTCCTAGATTCATGGATTTTTTGAAGGGTTTTTTTGTGTCTCTATCTCCTTCAGTTCTGCTCCGATCTTAATTATTTCTTGCCTTCTGCTAGCTTTTGAATGTGTTTGCTCTTGCTTTTCTAGTTACTTTAATTGTGATGTTAGGGTGTCAATTTTAGATCTTTCGTGCTTTCTCTTGTGGGCATTTAGTGCTATAAATTTCCCTCTACACACTGCTTTAAATGTGTACCAGAGATTCTGCTATGTTGTGTCTTTGTTCTCGTTGGTTTCAAAAAACATCTTTATCTCTGCCTTCATTTCATTATGTACCCAGTAGTCATTCAGGAGCAGGTTGTTCAGTTTCCATGTAGTTGAGTGGTTTTAAGTGAGTTTCATAATCCTGAGTTCTAGTTTAATTGCACTGTGGTCTGAGAGACAGTTTGTTAAAATTTCTGTTCTTTTACATTTGCTGAGGATTGCTTTACTTCCAACTATGTCATCAGTTTTGGAATAAAGTGCGATGTGGTGCTGAGAAGAATGTATATTCCGCTGATTTGGGATGGAGAGTTCTCTAGATGTCTATTAGGTCTGCTTGGTGCAGAGCTGAGCTCAATTCCTGGTTATCCTTGTTAACTTTCTGTCTCGTGGATCTGTCTAATATTGACAGTGGGGTGTTAAAGTCTCCCATTATTATTGTGTGGGAGTCTAAGTCTCTTTGTAAATCTCTAAGGACTTGGTTTATGAATCTGAGTGCTCCTGTATTGGGTGCATATATATTTAGGATAGTTAGCTCTTCTTGTAGAATTGATCCCTTTACCATTATGTAATGGCCTTCTTTGTCTCTTTTGATCTTTGTTAGTTTAAACTCTGTTTTATCAGAGACAAGGATTGCAATCCCTGCCTTTTTTTGTTTTCCATTTGCTTGGTAGATCTTCCTCCATCCCTTTATTTTGAGCCTATATGTGTGTCTGCACATGAGATGGGTCTCCTGAATACAGCACACTGATGGGTCTTGACTCTTTATCCAATTTGCCAGTCTGTGTCTTTTAATGGGAGCATTTAGCCCATTTACATTTAAGGTTAATATTGTTATGTGTGAATTTGATCCTGTCATTATGATGTTAGCAGGTTATTTTCCTCATCAGTTGATGCATTTTCTTCCTAGCCTCGATGATCTTTACAATTGGGCATGTTTTTACAGTGGCTGGTACCAGTTGTTCCTTTCCATGTTTAGTGCTTCCTTCAGGAGCTCTTGTAGGGCAGGCCTGGTGGTGACAAAATCTCTCAGCATTTGCTTGTCTGTAAAGTGTTTTATTTTCCTTCACTTATGAAGCTTAGTTTGGCTGGATATGAAATTCTGGGTTGAAAATTATTTTCTTTAAGAATGTTGAATATTGGCCCCCACTCTCTTCTGGCTTATAGAGTTTCTGCCAAGAGATCTGCTGTTAGTCTGATGGGCTTCCCTTTGTGGGTAACCCAACCTTTCTCTCTGGCTGTGCTTAACATTTTTTCCTTCATTTCAACCTTGGTGAATCTAACAATTATGTGTCTTGGAGTTGCTCTTCTCGAGGAGTATCTTTGTGGCGTTGTCTGTATTTCCTGAATTTGAATGTTGTCCTGCCTTGCTAGGTTGGGGAAGTTCTCTTGGATTATATCCTGCAGAATGTTTTCCAACTTGGTTCCATTCTCCCCGTCACTTTCAGGTACACCAATCAGAGGTAGATTTGGTCTTTTCACATAGTCCCATATTTCTTGGAGGCTTTGTTCATTTCTTTTTACTCTTTTTTCTTTAAACTTCTCTTCTCACCTCATTTCATTCATTTGATCTTCAATCACTGATACTCTCTTCCAGTTGATCAAATCGGCTACTGAAACTTGTGCATTTGTCACATAGTTCTCGTGCCCTGGTTTTCAGCTCCATCAGGTCATTTAAGGACTTCTCTGCACTGGTTATTATAGTTAGTCATGTGTCTAATCTTTTTTCAAGGTTTTTAGCTTCTTCGCAATGGGTTCAAACTGCCTCCTTTAGCTCAGAGAAGTTTGATCATCTGAAGCCTTCTTCTCTCAACTCGTCAAAGTCATTCTCCATCCAGCTTTGTTCCATTGCTGGCAAGGAGCTGCATTCCTTTGCAGGGGGAGAGGCACTCTGATTTTTAGAATTTTCAGCTTTTCTGCTCTGTTTTTTCCCCATCTTTATGGTTTTATCTACCTTTGGTCTTTGATGATGGTGATGTACGATGGGGTTTTGGTGTGGATGTCCTTTCTGTTTGTTAGTTTTCCTTCTAACAGGACCCTCAGCTGCAGGTCTGTTGGAGTTTACTGGAGGTCCACTCCAGACCCTGTTTGCCTGGGTATCAGCAGTGGATGCTGCAGAGCAGCAAATATTGCTGAACAGCAAATGTTGCTGCCTGATCATTCCTCTGGAAGCTTCGTCTCAGGGGTACCCAGCTGTGTGAGGTGTCAGTCTACCCCTACTGGGGGGTCCCTCTCAGATAGGCTACTCGGGGGTCAGGGACCCACTTGAGGAGGCAGTCTGTTCGTCCTCAGATCTCAAACTCCGTGTTGGGAGAACCACTACTCTCTTCAAAGCTGCAGACAGGGACATTTAAATCTGCAGAGGTTTCTGCTGTCTTTTGTTCTGCTATACCCTGCCCCCAGAGGTGGAGTCTACAGAGGCAGGCGGGCCTCCTTGAGCTGCGGTGGGCTCCACCCAGTTCAAGCTTCCCCACCACTTTGTTTACCTACTCAAGCCTCAGCAATGGCGGGCGCCCCTCCCCCAGCCTAGCAGCCCCCTTGCAGTTAGATCTCAGACTGCTGTGCTAGCAATGAGTGCAGCTCCTTGGGCATGGGACCCTCTGAGCCAGGCATGGGATATAATCTCCCGGTGTGCCATTTGCTAAGACCCTTGGAAAAGTGCAGTATTAGGGTGGTAGTGACCCGATTTTCCAGGTGTTTTCTGTCATGGCTTCCCTTGGCTAGGAAAGGGAATTCCCTGACCCCTTGTGCTTCCTGGGTGAGACGATGCCTCTCCCTGCTCTGGCTCACCCTGGGTGGGCTGCACCCACTGTCCTGCACCCACTGCCCGGCAAGACCCAGTGAGATGAACCTGGTACCTCAGTTGGAAATGCAGAAATCACTCGTCTTCTGTGTTGCTCATGCTGGGAGCTGTAGACTGTAGCTGTTCCTATTCAGCCATCTTGGAACCACCCAAACTTACTCATCTTTTAACTGAAAATTATTCCCTACAACCAACATGTCCCTATTTTGCCCTCCACTCAGCCCTTGGCAGCCATCGTTCTAATTCTACTGTTTCTATGAGTTTTTTAGATAACTTTTTTAGATTCCACACATAAGCGATACCATATCTTATTTGTCTTTCTCTGAATTATTTATGGCACTTGACAAAATGCACTCAAGATTCATCCATGTTGTTGCAAATGTCCGTACTTTTATATGGCTGCAAAAGATTCCATTTTACAGATACACACTGCAACTTTTTTGATCTACTTACAATTAATCATTTGCAGTGAATAACCTTATAATACAAATAATTGAGCTAATGTCTGTCTAAATAAGATTCACTAATACAATGTTCAGGCAAATGCATCTTATTCTACATAAATTTCCCTTTCAACTCTACTCAACACTACCCAACTCAAGTATTTTAAAAATGAACTTTATAAAAACCCAGTGTAAAACACATGATATACTCACATAAATGAAATTCAACAGCAAAAATATGAGTTTTAAAAAAGGTAGAAAGTTAAATATTACAGAAAAATGTGTCTTTTTGTCCTAGCATGATTCAGAGTTCTCAGGTACATTTATTCACAAGAATGAGAACTGGATACTTGGCTGTAGCCTATAGAAATCTATTGTGAAGTGGCCAGGCTCAGTGGCTCACACCTGTAATCCCAGCACTTTGGGAGGCCAAGGAGGGTGGATTACCTGAGGTCAGGAGTTTGAGACCAGCCTGACCAATATGATGAAACCCCATCTCTACTAAAAATACAAAAATTAGCTGGGTGTGGTGGCATACACCTGTAATCCCAGCTACTTGGGAGGTTGAGACAGGAGAATTACTTGAACCCAGGAAGCAAAGGTTGCAGTGAGCTGAGGTTGTGTCATTGGACTCCAGCCTGGGCAACAAGAGTAAAACTCCATCACAAAAAAAAAAGAAAAAAGAAAAAAGAAATAAATTTAGTGTGAAGTTAGAATTCCATGTGTTGTCTATTTATGTCCATGTTCGGGACACTAAATTATAGCCTCCTTGCTAGTTTGGCTGCTTCAGAGAGAGCAAAGTGATTTAGCCCAGTTCAATTTCAGCAAGTTGATAAGTTTGCCCTTGTACATCAGTTATCTTGAATCACAGCTGACTCTGTTAGGTGCCATGTCATTCTACATTTCACTCTGTTTGTTGAAAACTCAGATTTGGTATAATGTCTGACTTTCTGTGTAAGCTGGACGATGTTAGACAGAAATAGTGAACATTTAGCAGGATCTAGGTCTAATTCATAGTGAAATGTTGGTGCACACAGTCCCTGATTGCTTCTTCTGAATTTCGTTACTCTGGAAATCAAAATCAACCAAATGAGTCACATAAGATCAAGAGAAACTCAGAGAAAACTGAACTGGTATTAGTGCTAGGCAATTTCCTTTAATTATGTTTATTTCTTATAATACAGAACCAAATATCATAAGACTTTCATGATTGATCTAACTACAGAATATTAAAATTGCCACCTAGGTTTTTGTGTTTGAAAAACCTAAATTTTTAGGTAGAACAGAATCAAATGTGAACATTTTAATAGAAAAAATAGTCTGAAATCCTGGTCTGCCTACTCTGTATTCAGATCTGTATTCAGAGGTAAGTTTCTATGACATTTAGTTTACAAATCATGAAAAATATTCTTAAATGCAATGGTATACATTAGTTTTGTTCTGTAAGATTTTTATGCCTTACATTTTTGTTTATTACAAAAAAGGAAAGAAGAAATTCATGTTTTATTAGTAAATGTTCTAATGGCTGTTTACAAACTCCAATACTAACGTTAACCATATGTGGTAAGAGAAAATATTTAAAAATTCAAAGTATCTATTTTTTGTAATATTATAAGTTAGTATCTCTTAGGTTTGGAATATTCTCCATTTTTTTTTTCTGAAGAGCAGAAAATATCCATCCTTGATCTCCCTATAGTCAATTTTACTAGATGAACAGATACTAATTTTATCGCCAAACAACTGATTTCCTGTTGTTTTGTTCCTCATTGTCACTCCTGATGAGGAAAAGCCAGAGAATATGTTACTCCTGCCCATGTTGAGTAATATCTTAGGCTGATACAAAAAATTACCTTAGACGTGGTGCCTTAAACAACATATCTTTATTCCTCACAGTTCTGGAGGCTGGAAAATCCGAGTTCAAGGTACTGATGGATATGTGTTGGGTAAAAGTCTTGTCCTTTGTTGGCAGAATGTACCTTTCACATGGGGGAGAACAGAAGGGCAAGCTTTCATGTGTCTTCTTATAAAAGCACTAATCTCAAGGATAAGGGCTTTACCCTTATGACCTCATTATCTCCAAAGACCTCACCTCCAAATACCATCACACTGGGGGTTAGGATTCCAGCATATGATTTTTTTTTGGTGGAAGAACACAAACATTCAGTTTATAACAAGAGGTATTTTCAACTGTTCTCTAGAATAGCAGCTCCCTCCCTTTTTTGCTTGATACCACATTGAACATGTGATAACATAATGTATGCATAAACAATGTGTTTCTTTTACTTTAAAAAATATTTTTGAATTCTATGATTTTTCAGTTTTCTGTCTTCTAGTATTTAGCATTTTTTGTGTAAGACTTAACAAATGCTTCTGCAAGATAACATGGGCTACTGGTTATGCACAATTCTTAGCAGTTGGCCAATGGTATCATTTTCACTTTTACTGATCTTAAGTGTATCAATATCTTAAGACACTCTAGCTATGAATCACTCTCTTAAAGCTTTTCTTCTGTACATACAACTTGTCTACAGAAAAATACTGATGATTAATTGTGACTAAACAGACAAAACAAAGAGTGTCCACTACACAGATAGCCCTGTCAGTCTTTCTTTTTCCTAGACAAAAGGGTGATGGGTAACTTACCCAGCAGGGATAAAGAGGCTTGTCAAGAAAATATTTGTTCGGAGACAGGGAGACAGAGAGAAAAGGATACAGGGAGATAAGAAGAGAAAGAGAGAGAAGTACCCAGAGAGCATCATAGACACAGAGAAGAAAATATGAAGAAGGAAGTAGAGAATAAAATAATTTTCAAAGAAAGAAGTGGGTCAAATGCCATGCTTTTGTATAATTGGAATCAAATATTATAATACAGTTTTTACATGATTTACAGAGACAGAAATCTTGGCAATGGCAAAAATATATAGGCAGAACAATTTTCAGAGTTCATACAGGCTGGAAATAAGTTGCTTTCTTACCAGATGAAGAGATTTCACCGTATGTGGGGCATTAGGTACAGTCGTCAAGAAGATCATGTCTTAGATCAGAAATTATGCAGGCCAAAAGGCAATGAAAATAAAAATTTTAAGTGCTAGTCAAAGAAATCAAACTATATATGATTAGTGAAAATACTTTTTCAAAAATAAAATAAAAATATTTTCAAATATATAAAAAACTGAGAAAATTTATGGTCAGGAGAATTGTTTCAAAAAAAGTCTAAAGAATTTAGACAGGCAAAATAAAAATTGTGATAGATGGGAAACTGGGTAGAGATAATCTAATGTCTATATATAGTTCTTATGAGGGGCAATATACTTTAGACTCACTCATATTCCCTGAGTTTGCACCTATCCTTATTCTTTACTTGGTTGACCCTAGACTAATTCTTTATGACTTGATGTCTTGGGGGCTTTAGAAAGCGCTGCCTAACATTTCATCATCTTAGCTGCCTCTTCTGGAATGAAACACATTCTTAGAGGTAAGGCAGCCACAAAAGCTGTATTCACTTTTCTGGTGTCTCTCTTTTCATACTTATTGGCACTATAATTTTTCATTATCTAATATCTTCAATTAGATTGTTTAAAATAATTTTTTAGGGACAGCACAGAGGTTTTGTTAGAACAATGAAACTATTATGAATATTACTACAGGGATACATGCCATTTTATATGTGTTAAAACTCATAGAATGTACAATACCAGGAGTGAATTCTAATGTAAATTATGGACTTTGGGTGATAATAATGTCAGTGTCAGTTCATCAGTTGTAACAAATATGCCTCTCTGGTCTGAAATGTTGATAATGGATAATCTGCATGTGGGGGCACAGGGTGTATATGGGAAAGTTCACATGCTTTCTGCTTAACTTTACTGTGAAATTAAAACTATTCCAAAAATATAAAGTCTGTTAAAAATGACAGATTTTCAGTTATACTCCAATTAACAGAGTTGTTCAAACTACTTATTTTTTTATCAATGGAAATTATTATTTATATATTTCATATTGATCGGTAAATGCCCCAGTGACAAGAAGGCTTACAATTAAGAACACATATACAGCATTCTGCTCTGCTCCTTCTTTTTAACTCTTGATCTCTATCTCTATTACTGCCTTTCCAATTTCTTACCTTCTAGTAGTGCATAATTGTAGCATTTTTAAAATTAAAATGAAATATTTTTCAATAGGGGAACAAGTGCATTTCCTTTAGTTTGTTATTTTTTTTTTCTAGATGTAATAATTTTTATCTACCCTCCTCCACCCTCCCTTTTTCCCCCACCCCCAACTCCACCCTTAAGCTCTCTCTCCCGGAATACTTTGTCCCCAACTCCAAGCTGGCCTAGTAATTTTCCCTGCTAACTACAGAGTTGTTATCCTGAGAATTTGCTTTATCACTCTTATTAGAGTCTCTACATCCTGGATCCCATGGCTTGTTTTCTTGACTTAAATTTTTTTTTTTTTTTTTTTTTTTTTTGAGACAGAGTCTCGCTCTGTCACCCAGGCTGGAGTGCAGTGGCACAATTTCAGCTCACTGCAACCTCCATCTCCCAGATTCAAGCAATTCTCCTGCCTCAGCCTCCTGGGTAGCTGGGATTACAGGTGAGAGCCACCATGCCCGGCTAATTTTTGTATTTTTAGTAGAAATGGGCTTTCGCCATATTGGCCAGGCTGTTCTTGAACTCCTGACCCCAAGTAATCCACCTGCCTCGGCCTCCCAAAGTGCTGGGATTACGGGCATTGAGCCACCACGCCTGGCCGATTTTAATTTTAATTTTGAACAACACACAGCCTCTGGTGGGTTAAGAGAAAAAATGTACAGGTAGTTATGTTTTTGAAATAAAGGATATCTCAAAATGCCTTAAAAGAATCTCACATTGCTTTAAAACAAAAAGAAACAAACATACAAACAAACAAAACATCTTTTATACCTAATGGAGATATTAACTAAGAAAGGTCGCTCCTGATTTCTTTCCAGACTTCTGGAGGCAATATACTTACTGCCTTGTCTCATCTATCTTTGCTGCTGAGAGTGCTATTCCAATTCCTGTTCACTGTTGCTTTTTCTAGCTCCTTCTCTTCTTGGAAATTTCTCTACTGCTGTGAAATTTCATAATAATGTAATTTTATTTATTTTTATTCATTGGTAAGATACTCAGTGCACTATTTCAACATGGATACCTATGCTCATATTTCTGGGAATTTTTTATACTATTTATTTGATTTATTTTCAGTTTTTCTATTTTCAGTTCCAAGAATTTTTATTAGTTGAATATAGGATCACTGTAGGGTCTGTAACTTTTAAAGATTTTTTTATACTTCTATATTTTTCTGTTAAACTCTCATCTATAAATCTCTTAAAATTTAGCCCTCAACATCCTTAATCTTTGTCATATATTTAATATCTGAAGGATAATTTTTTAATCATTTTATTCATTATAAATCCCATTGAGGTTTTATGATGAATGTCAACTTATCTGATTATGCCATTTCTAATTTTAAAATATTTATTATACTTTATTTCTTGTTTTTCCTTCGTCTGTGTTTCTTTCTCTCTCTCTCTCCCAAGTGTTTACCTTTCATATTAAATTCTTTGCTCAAATGTCAGGTAATTGTTAGCCAACCAATCATATTTAAAACTGAGACACCAAGTAATTGACTGGAATCTCTTTGTACCGGATTTACTAAGTGGTGGGTTTTCTCATGGAGTGAGCTGTTGGGAGTTCCACTATTTCATTGGAATATGGACAAATTTTAGAATGTATAGATGTTGTCTTTGCCTGCTTGGATTCTTCAAAGAAGAAGCCACAGTTTCCTCTATGATAAATATGTTTGTGTGTGTGTCTGCACACTTGCACGTGAGTGTGTGTGTGTGTCTGTGTGTTGGCAGGGGGAGGAAGAGGGTGATGTGGGACTCTGAAGAATACCCAGTGCTCTTGGAGATTTGCAGCAAGAGAAGGCTGCCTGGCCACTGTTCATTTAGAAACTTGGCTTTTAATTAATGTATCTGTTCTCTCTAAAATGTATTTCCCTGTCCTCTCTTATTCATGATTTGCCTGACTCTGAATGATTTATAGTTTAGTAAAATATCTGTCTCTCAGTAGAAAGGGGGTGCAGAGAATTGGCTCACTGTGTTAGATGTAGGAAAAAATTGGGGGTTCTAATTGCCCTTTGACTTTCAACCAATTTCTTAGGATTCCCCCATTCCTCTCTTTCAAAGACACTTGATACTTTTAATTCCTGCGCATTCTCAGCATGTTTCCTGTTATAAGAACTTGCTTTTTTCTCTTGCAAGCATTTGGAATTAAACTTTCTCAACTCCAGGGCTTCTTTGGATGTTTTCAATCTTCTCTAAACTTGTTGATATCATTTATAGGACTTTTCCCTCTCAGTTTATATTGAATATTGGGTTAATAACAGTTTACTGCTTTAGTCTAATTTATTGCTAATACAAGATAGAAAGAGAAAAAAATATATTTCTAATTCAATGTATTTCACCAGAAGTCAAATATAATACATTTTATCTTTTATATAAGCTAAATCATTAAAACGTTTTTCTCTCTTTGCTGTTCTTTATTGAATTTAACTTATTGTTTTGGTATACATTTAATAATTATTTGCAAACATATTGTCAGAATACCTTACAACTACATGACTTTAGCTGGTGTGTTCTATTATTTAAAAGAGCACTACATTTTGAGGAATTTATTGCCAATCAGATTAATTTAGTGAGAAGGCACAAAAATAGTTCAGTTATTGAAGAGACAAATTAAAATGGGTAAATGAAATATGCTCAATCCATGCTTTAAGATCAGTAGGATATTATATAAATATAAATATTTAAATAAAGGCAATGTATTTATATAATAAAACAAGTTGTTTAAATATGAATATGAAAAGAGAGTACAAGAATAAGAACATAATACAGAATAAAATAACACTTTATCAGTATTGTACATTAGATAGTGAAATAGGTTTTTCCTAGAAATAATATTCTAGTAATCCACATCATTCATCATAGAGAAGGCCATGAGTTGAGCTCAATGTATTCGTTATCAATAATGTTATACTTTAGAGTTTTGCAAAAACTTTGTTATGTTTAAACTTTTATATTATGCAGGGTGAAATAGTTTAGTTTTATACAACTATGAGCTGATAAAATTTGCAATATGATGGGTAGTTTCTTTTTTCCCAACCAGGAACTGAAGCTCTCTTTTATAATTAAACTTATATTGAGTAAAAATTCAGTTTTAGCAATTTCAATATGCCATTCTTCCTAAAGCAAACTTCATTTATTATTGTCAAAAACTACTGTAAATATGTGATATTGGGAGTACAGCACCTTTGTGAATGATTCATTGTTTAGTACATTAACTTGTGAAAAAGGGAATTAGACCCATAATTCTTCTATATCTAACTCAAAACTTATTTTTGTATAAGGAAAATATAAATGATATTGTTGTATTTCATAAATCTTAAATAACAGAATGATTAATGGTCAAATCAAATAAATCTGAAATGGTAAAAAAAAATGCTTAAAATTTGTCTCTAGTTTTATTTGCTCACCAAATTGTTAAACAGTTCATTTCATATCAAAGGACCATTCTATAATTTTATATGTCAATAGAAATTTTGCAGTTTTTGACTTACAAATAAGTAATTCCAATCTCAGAATGTTAAGATACATTTGCATTAGGAAAATTAAAACTAAATTGATTTTTATGCTTTTATTAAAATCTAGCACTTGAATGTTTTATGATTAGTTTCAAAATGATACAGAATCTGTAGTGCAGAGTGTATTGATTTTTCCTTCATCAATCCTCTTCTTGTAGTAGATCCAATCAACAACTGACTTTTGTTGATTCTTTCTCAGAAGAGTCTAGACTTCATTGTTTACATTTCAAATGATCCCTTCCAGTGGTGTTCTGAAGTATCACCCCATTTTACAAAAACATAAATTTAAAGTATTTGGAATAGTTTCAAAATCTTCTATGATCTAGTTCCTATCTAATTTTTTAAGTTCATATCCCATTAATTCTTCACAGAATCCTTCAATCCAGTTTTTACAACATAGTTCTGTAAACAAAACACGATGTTCTCACTTGTACATATTGTTGCAGAGCACTGGTGATACACCCATTACATGTATGATGGATGAATGAAAGGCTGAGTGAAATTTGACTCTATTATCACCTCTTTTGTAAAATGTTTGCTGATTTTTCTTGTAAATTTGTTTGAGTTCATTGTAGATTCTGGATATTAGCCCTTTGTCAGATGAGTAGGTTGCGAACATTTTCTCCCATTTTGTAGGTTGCATGTTCACTCTGATGGTAGTTTCTTTTGCTGTGCAGAAGCTCTTTAGTTTAATTAGATCCCATTTGTCAATTTTGGCTTTTGTTGCCATTGCTTTTGGTGTTTTAGACATGAAGTCCTTGCCCATGCCTATATCCTGAATGGTAATGCCTAGGTTTTCTTCTAGGGTTTTTATGGTTTTAGGTCTAACGTTTAAGTCTTTAATACATCTCGAATTAATTTTTGTATAAGGTGTAAGGAAGGGATCCAGTTTCAGCTTTCTACATATGGCTAGCCAGTTTTCCCAGCACCATTTATTAAATAGGGAATCCTTTCCCCATTGCTTGTTTTTGTCAGGTTTGTCAAAGATCAGATAGTTGTAGATGTGCAGCGTTATTTCTGAGGGCTCTGTTCTGTTCCATTGATCTATATCTCTGTTTTGGTACCAGTACCATGCTGTTTTGGTTACTGTAGCCTTGTAGTATAGTTAGAAGTCAGGTAGCATGATGCCTCCAGCTTTGTTCTTTTTGCTTAGGATTGACTTGGTGATGCGGGGTCTTTTTTGGTTCCATATGAACTTTAAAGTAGTTTTTTCCAATTCTGTGAAGAAAGTCATTGGTTGCTTGATGGGGATGGCATTGAATCTATAAATTACCTTGGGCAGTATGGCCATTTTCATGATATTGATTCTTCCTACCCATGAGCATGGAATGTTCTTCCATTCGTTTGTATCCTCTTTTATTTCATTGAGCAGTGGTTTGTAGTTCTCCTTGAAGAGGTCCTTCAAGTCCCTTGTAAGTTGGATTCCTAGGTATTTTATTCTCTTTGAAGCAATTGTGAATGGGAGTTCACTCATGATTTGGGTCTCTGTCTGTTATTGGTGTATAAGAATGGTTATGATTTTTGTACATTGATTTTGTATCCTGAGACTTTGCTGAAGTTGCTTATCAGCTTAAGGAGATTTTGGGTTGAGACAATGGGGTTTTCTAGATATACAATCATGTCATCTGCAAACAGGGACAATTTGACTTCCTCTTTTCCTAATTGAATACCCTTTATTTCCTTCTCCTGCCTAATTGCCCTGGCCAGAACTTCCAACACTATGTTGAATAGGAGTGGTGAGAGAGGGCATCCCTGTCTTGTGCCAGTTTTCAAAGGGAATGCTTCCAGTTTTTGCCCATTCAGTATGATATTGGCTGTGGGTTTGTCATAGATAGCTCTTATTATTTTGAGATACGTCCCATCAATATCTAATTTATTGAGAGTTTTTAGCATGAAGTGTTGTTGAATTAATTTACAAGAAAAAAGCAAACAACCCCATCAAAAACTGGGCAAAGGACATGAACAGACATTTCTCAAAAGAAGACATTTATGCAGCCAAAAAACACATGAAAAAATGCTAACCATCACTGGCCATCAGAGAAATGCAAATCAAAACCACAATGAGATACCATCTCACACCAGTTAAAATGGCAATCATTGAAAAGTCAGGAAACAACAGGTGCTGGAGAGGATGTGGAGAAATAGGAACACTTTTACACTGTTGGTGGGACTGTAAACTAGTTCAACCCTTGTGGAAGTCAGTGTGGCGATTCCTCAGGGATCTAGAACTACAAATACCATTTGACCCAGCCATCCCATTACTGGGTATATACCCAAAGGACTATAAATCATGCTGCTATAAAGACACACGCACACATATGTTTATTGCGGCACTATTCACAATAGCAAAGACTTGGAACCAACCTAAATGTCCAACAATGATAGACTGGACTAAGAAAATGTGGCACATATACACCGTGGAATACTATGCAGCCATAAAAAATGATGAGTTCATGTCCTTTGTAGGGACATGGATGAAATTCGAAATCATCTTTCTCCGTAAACTATCGCAGGAACGAAAAACCAAACACCGCATATTCTCACTCATAGGTGGGAATTGAACAATGAGTACACATGGACACTGGAAGGGGAACATCACACTCTGGGGACTGTTGTGGGGTGGGGGGAGCGGGGAGGGATAGCTTTAGGAGATATATCTAATGCTAAATGACGAGTTAATGGGTGCAGCACACCAGCATGGCACATGTATACATATGTAACTAACCTGCACATTGTGCACATGTACCCTAAAACTTAAAGTATAATAATAATAATAATAATAAAGTAAAAAAAAAAGTTTGCTGATGCGTTACTCACTTAACTGTCCTCTATTCCAATGACATTTTGAATTTACATCAGTATGCTGCTTATAACATTCTTAGAGCTAATTGCATATGAATTTATCACTAATCATCTCTTGGCAGTGTACTTATAAATACACGCTATCTCTTATTTGCCATTGAATTGCTTACCTCCTTGGCGCCGTTAGATTCAGGTATTTATAACTTAAGAGCAACTACCCCCAAAATTTAGTGACTTAAATCATTCCAAAACTAAGTGGCTTAATACAACAGCCATTTTATTTTATCTTATGGATCAGGAATTTGAAGAAGCTTAATTAGGATGGGTTTTCTCTGCTCCCTATTGAGGGTGGAGTATCATTATTACTTCATATATCTGACCCTATAGCTAGGATGGCTGGAGTGCTGAAACCTCTCTTTCCTCATAGGCTCTTATCCTTCAGAGCTTTTCTCTCCTTGTAGTTTTGCATTCTACCAACCTTCAGGGTATTTATTTCCATCTAGCCTCACCAGCATGACAGTCTAGATTGCTTTATATGGTAGCTGAGCCTTCCTAAGAGAGTGAAAAAGGAAGTTACAAGACCTCTGAAAACTTACTCTCAGAAGTAATTTCTGCCTCATTCTACTGGTAAAAGCAAATCAAACGACCAACCAAGATTCAATAGAGGAAAAATAGATACCACCTGTTATTCGAAGAAATGACAAATTCCATTGCAAAAGGGCAAGTAGGATGGGAATAATTCTTACAGCTGTCTTTGAAAGCAATCATCAACAGATGCTTAGTGCTTAATAATTAATCTGCTACTTAGTTGATATTTCTCATCTGAAAGAGAGAGATTTGGAATAATTGATTTCTAAAATACATTTCTGCTCTAAAATATTGAATAAATTCTTTGGACCTAATGAACATGTATAATAAACAGAAAGTATGAATTTTTACTTGTCTTTTCTAGTACAGCTCTTTTTAAAGAGTAGTACAGCTGCTTTTTAAAGATGCTTAATAAATAACCAAGACAATAATAAAAAGAGCATCGCTCTTGCTTCATTTTAAATATAAATAAAAAATGAATATCCTGAAGTTGCAAAAATTGCTTTATACTATGTTTTATTTCTATCAACATAACTTAGTAGGATTATCTTCTCTACTATGAAGTTAACAGGTTGTATATACATTATCCCTGAGAATCGCGCTGTCAATTAAACTCAGACTTGACAAATTAACAAGCAAGAAGTCAGGCAATTTGTCACACTAAAGTTTTTTTAATATTGATACATACTTTTTATCAGTGTTAATATAGGTGTTTTATAAAAGGAACTTCTATTTAATTCAGAAGATATGCTTACTTGTAATTGTGGAATCACAATATGTTGGGATGTGATAGGGATTCTTTTTGTCAACTGCGTGCAAGCACTCTTTCGATAAAAAACATGTATCTTTTTTCTAATTATCTTTTCATTTTCCCTATATTATGTTTATTCTGATTATATTCATTGGGAAATAGGTGGGAAGTTTTTGAATTTACTGGTAACATTTTGGCTTGTATTTTGTATATCTTTTAAAATTTTATTCTTTTAGCGATTCATTTTAATGCACTAAAAAAAATCGGTTTTTGACTAATAGGGAATTTTTTGCCCCTACAATAGTTATATAAGAAGCTCTATGTAGGGATACGTCAAGCTGGGACAGTGAGGAGTTGACACAAGCATTACAGTTGCTAAACTATTTTTGAGTGTTTACCTCCTCCTCAGAATTTATTATTACTCATTTTATGAACAATGGCTTAGAAGAAGAGAAAAAAATGATAAGCTTCTGGTCCCACACATCTTAGTAATGGCTGAATGACTGTCTTACTCAGTTGAGAAATGCATTGATTCATGCACTCCGCTTGAATATTTAGAAAGTTGGATTCGATTTAGAAGACATTTCTCCATGAACACATGTCACCTAAACAAGAATTTATTTTTCCTGTTGTGTCCTCATTAACATGACATTTTAGGCTGTGTTTTAAATCATTATCTTTTACATTTTATAGAGCTGAATTTGTTAGTTTATACTTTATACAGTCCTGATTCCATTGACTTTAACATCTTTATTTGCGTTCTTTGGAGGAGGTAGAATTCAAGAAGCTCAGATAGCAAGTAAGTTACTTGACAGAATTAAAACTCAAGATTTTAGGATTGATATAAATCTTAGATAATGGAACTATTTACTAGTAAATTAAATAACTGGAAGAGATTGGAAGTTTCTCCCATTAATCTGAAGAAATCTTTACCTGCAAACTATTCTGTTACTATCAATACAAAAAAAAATCCAACAGTGCTTGAAGTTTCAACAAAAAAGTCAGTTGCAGAACTATATTTTTCTTTATATATTTTATATTTTACTTTTTATTATTTAGCTAAATTTTGTTTGAGTTTTGTTTTTTAAATCAATGATATTTTATTTATATATGAAGTAGATTATAATCCTAAAATTTCCTTTGTACTTCATAGTTTACATTATAAATTTAGTAGTTATACTAAAATAACTTACTAGGCTAATATGCAAATCTGAAGGCAAATATTTATGGTATATATATGTTAGGGGTTGAAGAGATGAATAAGAAAAATATGAACTCAATAAAAATGATATTAAAATGTACACTTCTATTTTTTATTATAGATATTAATTGATGAAAGGTAAATATTTTAATAACTATAACCAGAATATTTTTAAAGAACATAATTATAAAATAATTTTTTATAAATCAATTTTAAAAGGATTTCATCATTTTAAAGTACAATCTAAATTTGTAATTATAAGATTTTAGCTTTAAAATCATCACCTATAGATACTATAATTACTTATCTCTGAATATGAGACTAATTTATTTTGATATCAATAGAGAAATTTTATTTAGTAGTCATGCACTAAATGAGAATATATGTTTATTGATATTTTCGTTCCAAACAACTCACTGAAGTATATCCACTATCAAATATTTACTATAAAAGTGATTTGGGACTTGAATTATGATTATTTCATTCCAAAGAAAGAATTATATCAAAAAGATATTTTAGTGCATTTTCATTTGACAAAGATTTAAGATATATAAATGGGTTCTTGAAAATGTATACACACACATACATATTGATAAATGAAGCACGTCAGTGCTATACGAGAAACACTTATGGAATATATGTCAGTTTGAGTGAGAGCAATTAAGAATTAATCATTTTTACTTCTACAGCATTGTCTGAAGTACACAAAATAAGTGTTGAGGGTTAAAGAATATAGCTAAGGTCTGCCATATAGCAAGTATTGTAAAAGCATGCAATGAACATATTTAAGATATACAGAGAGAAATTTCTGTAGAAACAATTAGAAAAAAATTAAATTCTAAAGGCATGTATATAGGATAATATAATATACACATTATGTGAAAAATACAACCCCGTGATGATTGCTAATAATCATTTCTGAAATTGGAAATGCTAACTACTAAATTAATTCATACTAGCACTAAAGTGATTCATTTACAAAAATATGGCTTTTGTTTTAACAACACTTATTAGGGGAAATTAGACATCTCCCGCTTTTACACTCTCTCTCTATATATACACACATATATGTATAAATATATATGTATACATACACGCATATATTAGATAGATAAATAGTTAGAAGTGAGAACATAGTGGTGCACTCTTAACATACTGGTAAATAGTCCCATAGCTGATTACAGAAAATATGACATTTAGTTTGTGAAAGTTTTAATGAAGAGATGTATTTCATGTCAATAAATGGGTAAGATTTTAACACAGAGAGCTGGCATGCAAATAAAAGAGCTTAACTAAAATTGTGAGCAAGTGGAGATGAAAGTGAAACTTATTCACTATTCCCCTAATATTCCCTCCATGTGAAGGTATGTTCTTTAGTATGACACTCTACTTTCTTATACTTTCTTATGATTATTCAGAGTTTTAAGAGTAAAGAACTGAGCCTAGCTAGTTCTACCTCCTTCTCAGTTGCTTGTCTAAATTGTAAGCTTAAACATAAAGCCCCTGCTCTGACTGGGTTAGAAGTAGAAGCAGGCTAACGTGGTATAGTAATATTTGTTACTGCATTGGGAAGTCTGTCTAATTCTAGGACTCTGGGCTAGGATCAATTTGCCCATTCATATAAGCCCCACTTTCCAATGTCTGCTTTATTGGGTGAAAAGGTAAATCTGATTTGTGAAGATGGCCGACTAGAGGCAACTAGTGTACACAGCTCTCGTGGAGAGGAATAGAAACGAAGAGAGAATACACACCTTCAACTGAAACACCCTTGGGACTAATCATGCCTTGAGACTGATCAAGAAAACAACTTGACCCATGGAGAACGGAGAAAAACAAGACTGGACGATGGCCCACCCAGGAGTAACATGGAGCCAGGGGAACCTCCGCCACCCAGGGAAGCAGTGAGTGAATGTACAACCCCAGGAATCCACACTTCTCCCATGGATCTTTGCAATCCTTCGGTCAGGAGATACCCTTGTGAACCCACTCCACCAGAGCCTTCAGTCTGACACACACAACTACATGGAGTCTCAGCAGAGCAGCCACCAAGACACATAGAGAGCAGGGAGCCTTAGATACCCAGGGTTTCTGGGCTTCCCAGAAAAAGTAGCTGCAACCCTGGCAAAGCAGGAAGTTAGACCCCTGTACATACCCCTAAGAAACAGCTGAATCCAGGAAGCTCAGCAGCAACAGTCTACAGGCCCTGCTTCCACAGCACCTCACTGGATAAGACCCATTGGCTTGAAATTCCAGCCAGTCACTGGTAGCAGTGTTGCACCTCCCAGAGACAGAGTTCTCAGGGGAAGGAGTGGCCACCATCTTTGCAGTTTGGGTGATCTAATTGTTCCAGCCTTCCGGGTTTGGAAAGTCCAAGCCTACTGAGGACTGAAGCGATCCCCAGCACAGCACAACTGCTCTACAGAAATGTGACCAGACTGCTTTTTTAAGCAGGTCCTTGGTCCTATTCCTCCTCTCTAGGTGGAGCCTCTCAACTGGAGTCTCCAGCCACTCACACTGGTGTTTTCTGGCCAACAGAGATTTGAAACCTCTCTGGGACAAAACTCCCAGAGAGAGAGGCAGGCCACCATCTTTGCTGTTTGGGTGATTTAGCCATTTCATTCTTCAGGCTTTGGAGAGTCCAAGCCAACTGAGGGGAGACATGATACCCTAGCACAGCACACCTGCTCTATGAAAACATAGTCAGACTACTATTACTTTTTGAAGAAGGCCCTCAATCCCATTCCTTTTCACTGGAAAGGACCTCCCAACTGAGGTTTACAGCCACCTCCTATAGGTGCATTCGAGCCAACAATAGGTTCATGCCTCCCTGGGATAGAGATCCCAAAGGGAGAGACAGACTACCATATTTGCTGTTTTGAAGCCTTCACTGTTGATATCTCCAGGTATTGGAAAATCTGAGGTGACTAAAGACTGCAGTGGGCCCCCAGAATACTTCAGAAGCCCTACGAAAAAGTGGTCAGACTGCTACATGGGTGATTGTTCCCACATCTCCTTATTGGGCAGGTCCTCCAGGCCACCAGCCTCCCCCTGCCAGAGCTATGAGCCAGTAGCAGCTCTGCAAGTTACTGGGCAGAACCCAGGAACAACTGAAAGCCTCTCTGCCACTTTCTCTGTAGTGGAACTGCCCTTGCCACCCTTGAACTAATGAAGAAGGAAATACCCTAAATGCCTTACCCACACCTACAAACAGCTGCAGTAAACAGAAGGAAAGAAGGCCAGTTCATTTCCCATGGGTCCCACTTACCCCCACCTGCTTATCACCAAACAGGGAGCCCCCAGCTTGGGCCTACAGCACAGATTCTCCATCTTGGACTGATTGCACTGAGCAATTGCTGACCTGCGACTCCCTGGGTTAGAACGCTTGGGAGACAAGCAAAAGATCTTTGGTCACAGCCATACTAAGGTTCCTTACTCTTGCCTCCAAGTTGGGGTAGCAACATAAACACTGAAACCACCTCAGAGCTACAGTGGGCAGCCCAGGGGTGCCAAGTCACGATCTATAGCCAGCACTTGAGAAGAACCCACATTTTTAGAGCACTGAGAGTGAACATGGCTACAACTGAGAAAATATAGGGGAGTCACAACTGAGCAAGAGTCTAATAACTGAACAAATGCCTAAGTGTCATGTACTGGATCACACTCCAAAGATTCAATACCAAAAATACCTCACTAACATATCCCCATCTGAATCCAGAGACAAGAAGTCAGCTTCAGATAAAGACCCTGCACAAAGCATCAGCCCTGTGAAAATGTCCAGAAAAGAAGTCTAGTAACTATACTCATTCTACACTGCAGTAAAAAGAACATCCACATGCAGAGATGAGAAACAACCAGTGAAAACTCTGGTAACTCAAATAGCCAGAGTGTTGTATGTCCTCCAAACAACCACATCAGTTCTCCAACAAGAGTTCTTAACCAGGCTGGGCTTGCTGAAATGACAGGAATAAAATTCAGAATATGGATAGAAATGAAGATCCCTGAGACTCAGGAGAATGGCAAAACTCAATCCAAGGAAACTAAAAGTCACAATAAAACAATACAGGAGCTGAAGGATGAAATAGCTAGTATGAAAAGGAACCCAGTGGATCTAACAGTGCTGAATAACACAATACAAGAGTTTCACATGAATCACAAGTATTAACAGCAGAATAAACCAAGTTGAAGGAAGAATCCCAGAACTTGAAAAATGGTTCTCTGAAATAACACAGTAAGACAAAAATAAAGAAAAAAAGAACTAAAAGGAATAAACAAAACCCCCAAGAAGTATGGGATTATGTAAATAGGTCAAATCTATGAATCACCGGCATCCTTGGAAGGGAGGGGGAAAAAGTAAACAACTTGGAAAACATATTTCAAGACATTGTTCATGGAACATACTTTAAAATTGACCACATTATGGGACATAAAACAATCCTCAGCAAATGCAAAAGAATAGAAATCATACCTAACAGTCTTAGACCACAGCACAATAAAAATAGAAGTCAAGAATAAGAAAATCACTCAAAATCATGCAATTGCAAGGAAATTAAACAACATGCTCTGGAATCATTTTGGGATATATAATGAAATTAAGGCAGAAATCAAGATGTTCTTTGAAACTAATGAGACCAAAGATACAACTTACCAGAATCTCTGGGACACAGCTAATGCAGTGTTAAGAGGGAAATTCATAGCACTAAATGCCCACATAAAAAGTGAGAAAGATCTAAAATTAACAACTTAATATCAAAACTGAAAGAATTAGAGAAACAAGAACAAATCAAACCCAAAGCTAGAAGAAAACAAGAAATAACAAAAATCAGAGCTGAATTGAAGGAAATGGAGACACCAAAAAACCATTGAAAAGATCTACAAATTTAGGAGTTAGCTTTTTGAAAAACTTAATAAAGTGGATAAGCCACTAGCTAGACTAATAAATAAGAGAGAGTATCCAAATAAACACAATTACCACTGACCCCATAGAAATAAAAATAACCATCAGAAACTACTACAAACACCTCTAAACACACAAACTAGAAAACCTAGAAAAGAAGGATAAATTCCTGGACACATACACACTCCCAAGACTGAACCAGGAAGAAATTGATTTCCTGAATAGACCAATAATGAATTTTGATATTGAATTAATAAAAAATAGCCTACCAACCAAAAAAAAGTCCAGGGCCTGATGGATTCACAGTCAAATTCTGCCAGATGTACAAAGACTAGCTGGTACTATTTTGACTGAAACTATTCCAAAATATTGAGGAAGAGGGACTCCTCCCAAACTCATTCTATGATGTCAGCCTCTTCCTGATACCAAAACCTGTCAGAGATACACACACACAAATAAAAATTCAGGCCGATATACTTGATGAACTTTGATGCAAAATAATTATCAAACAAATTCCTTGCAAACTGAATCCAGCAGCACGTCAAAAAGCTAGTCCATCATGATCAAAATGGCTTTACCCCTGGGATGCAAGTTTGGTTCAACATATACAAATCAACAAGTGTGATTCATCACATAAACAGAACTAAAGACAAAAAGCAAATGATTATCTCAAAAGATGCAGAAAAACTTTTTAATAACATTCAACACTCCTTCATGTTAAAAACTCTCAATAAATTAGGTATTGAAGGAATGTACCTCAAAATAATAAGAGCCATTTATGAAAAACCCATAGCCATCACCATACTAAATGGGCAGAAGCTGGAAGCATTCCTCTTGAAAACAAGCACAAGACAAGGACACCCCATCTCACCACTCCTATTCAACATTGTATTGGAAGTCCTAGCCAGAGCAATCAGGCAAGAGAAATAAACAAAGGGAATCCAAATAGAAAGAGAGGAAGTCATACTATCCTTGTTTGTAGATGACATGATTCTATATCTAGAAAATCTCATAGTCTCAGCCAATGAGCTCCTTCAACTCATAAACAACTTGAGCAAAAATTCCAGATACAAAATCAATGTACAAAAATCACTAGCATTCCTATACATCAGCAACAGCCAAGCCGAAAGCCAAATCAGGAAGGCAATCCCATACAATTGCCACAAAAAGAATAAAATACTTATGAATATAGCTAACTAGGGAGGTAAAAGACCTCTACACTGAGAATTACAAAACACTGCTCTAAGGAAACAGAGGAGACACAAACAAATGGAAAAATATTCCATGCTCGTGGATAGGAAGAATCAATATTATTAAAATGGCTATATTGAACAAAGCAATGTATAGATTCAATGTTATTCCCATCAAAATACCAATGACATTCTTCACAGAATTAGAAAAAAACTATTTTAAATTTTATAGGGAACCAAAAAAGAACTGAAATAGCCAAGGCAATACTAAGAAAAAAGAACAAAGCTGGAGGCATCAACTTACCCAATTTCAAACTACACTACAGGGCTACAGTAACCAAAACAGCATGATACCGGCACAAACACAGGCACATGGACCAACAGAACAGAATAGAGAGCCTAGAAATAAGGCCACAAATCTATGATTATTTGATCTTAGATAAAGCTGACAGAAAAAAAAAAACAAGCAATGGGGAAAAGGCTTTCTAGTCAATGAATGGTCTTGGGATAACTGGGTATCCATGTACAGAAGATTGAAGCTGAACCTCATCCTTACAGCATTTACAAAAATCAACTCAAGATTGATTAAGACTTAAATGTAAAACCCAACACTATAAAAACCCCGGAAGACAACCTAGGCAATACTATCCTGGGTGTAGGAATGGGCATAGATTTCATGACAAAGACACCCAACACAACCATGACAAAAACAAAATTGACAAATAGAATCCAAATAAACTTAAGACCTTCTGCACAGCAAAAGAAACTATTGACAGAGTAAACAAACAATCTACAGAATGGAAGAAAATATTTACAAACTATACATGTGACAAACGTCTGATATCCAGCATCTCTAAAGAACTTAAACATATTTATAAGAGAAAAACAAACAACCTCGTTAAGAAGTAGCCAAAGGACATGAACAAACACTTTCCATAATAAGACATACATGCATACAACAAGTATATATTTAAAAAAGCTCAATATCACTGATCATTATAGAAATGCAAATCAAAATCCCAATGAGATACCATCTCACACCAGTCAGAATGGCTTACTAAATAGTAAAAAAATAACAGATGCTGGCAAGGTTGTGGACAAAAGGGAGAACTTATACCCTGTTGGTCGGACTGTAAATTAGTTCAACCATTGTGTAATGCAGTATGAATTTCTCAAAGAGCTAAAAGCAGAACCACCATTTGACCCAGCAATACCATTACTGGATATGTACCCAGAAGAATAGAAATCATTCTATCATAAAGTCATATGCACACAAATATTCATTGCAGCACTATTCACAATAGCAGAGACATGGAATCTACCTAAACTCCCATCAATGACAGATTTTATAAAGAAAATGTGGTACATGTTACACCATAGAATACTATGGAACCATAAAAATAAACGAGATCATGTCTTTTGCTGGAACATGGGTGGAGCTGGAGGCTACTGTCCTTAGTAAACTAACGCAGTAACAGAAAACCAAGTATCACTTGTTCTCACTTACAAGTGAGAGCAAAGTGATGAACAAAAGTCTTGAACACAAGGAAGGGAACAACAGACACCGGGGTCTGCTTGACAGTGGAGGGTGGAAGGAAGGAGAGGAGCAGAAAAGATAGCTATTGGGTACTGGGCTTAATACCTGGCTGATGAAATAACCTGTACAACAAACACTCATGACATAAGTTTACCTATATTAGATACCTTCACATGTACCCTGATATGGTTTGGATTTGTATCCCTGCCTAAATCTTATGTGGAATTATAATCCCCAATGTTGGAGAAGGTGCTGGTAGGAGGTGATTGGATCATGGGGCCAGATTTCTCCATTGCTGTTTTTGATAGTGAGTGAATTCTCATGAGCTCTGGTTGTCTAAAAGTAGATAGTACCTCCCCTTCTTGCTCTTTTTCTTCTTCTCCAGCCATGTAAGATGTGCCTGCCACCATATTTGTAAGTTTCTCTAGGCCTCCTCAGCCATGCTTCCTGTACAGCCTGCAGAAATGTGAGTCAATTAAACCTCTTTTCTTTATAAATTACCCTGTATCATGTAGTTCTTTATAACAATGTGAGAACAGACTAATACATCCCTAAACCTAAAATAACAGTTTAAAAATCTGATATGCTCTACTCTTTTTATATATTTCTGAGTTTATTCATATATCAAATGAGACAAAGGTTGCTATTAGGGCTTTTTTTGAACATCCAATATTCAGCAACAATTTGGGTTGTTGATGTCTTCACTCAAAATGAAAGATTGTTCACATTAATAATAATGCTTATTTGAGTTTTCATTTCACCTCACTTAATCTAGGCCTAGCTAATATAGATTGTTGAGATTAGTCTTTCTAGTTGTTGACAATGTAAAGATTTTTAGATGAGATTATTCAAACTTGAAGAGAGAAAAATCTCTTCATCTCGGAAGCTGTTAATAATTTTTGAGTTGTTATATCACGATGCTTCTACTAAAGAGTGTAAAACAACTGATATAACTCAGTCACAGTTGCTAAATAATTCCTTGTTTGCTTCCCCAAGATCAAGAATCATGTTTGGTGAATAGTAATAATGTAGCTTTATCACTGGAAAAACTGATCCCTATATATATTTTTACAACAATTAAATCTCATGCTGAAGTTATTTATCATTTTCTTTCTCTCAACATCTTGTACTTAATTGGCTCGGTTGTAACCAATAAGTCAAACTATGAAAAAAATACAGGAAAACATGTAATGTAAGTAAATCTGGATGCATATTTTTGTTCTGTAATCAAGAATGCATTGGACTGAAAAGGGCAAGACTTTGAAAGTGTAGTTACATTATAACTTCTGAAGTTGCCAGTTTAATTATATCGTTATGCAGCATTACTCACCACAATTTTTTTAAAAAATAAGACCCCTCTTTACAATGAATGGTTTATGAAAAATGCACCGTTATGAATAGACTATATGAATATAATTTACATTTATAATCTGTTTTTCCCTTAAAGTTTGAAAATAACTGGGAACACCAGAATGTGTTGGGTCAAATAGTGTTCAGAAGAAGGATGGTAAAATTATTTTTTTGATTTATAAAGTCTCCTGGAGATATCATCTCAAATTAGAAAACTCAATCTTGACTCATATTTGCCAAATTATCTTCTAATAGTGGGATGAAATGAAAAGAGCTTTGCTTAAAAGGATCGATGTCAAGTAACTCAGGTTCAAACTTCACGTTCTACTCTGACTGACAATCTACCAACGTCAATTTATATACCAGAAAATTTATACCCAAGTTTATAATATAATTTTCTAGAAAAATCTGTAGAAAAGGAGTTTAAGGTGTTTCAAATATAGAATATTACCATTGACTGAATATTTGTTCCCCCCTCTCCAATTCACATGTCAAAGTGGAGCCTTTTTGAGGGAATTACTGGCAGATTAGGTTGTTAGGATAGGGATCTCGCACTATGATTAATGCTTTTTAACAAGAAGAGATGATTAGGGAACTCTGTCTCTCTGCATGGGTATGCCAAGACCAAGGGAGATCTTGTGAGGACATAACCAGGAAGAGAGCCTTCACCTAGAACCCAGTTATGCTGGCATCCTGATCTTTGACTTCCAGCCTCCAGATCCATGAGAAATGTTTGTTGTTTAAGAACACCACTCTATGGTAATTTATTGTAGCAACCTGAACTAAGTCAACTATAAAGAAAATAGTCCCATTTTTTTCACTTTTATTTTCAATTAGAGTGACCTTTACCAGAGGAGAGTCTAGTCTATTCTGACCTAAATTTCATAAACTTCCTAAAAAATATTTCTGATCATTCTATTCTATGCAGCTGAAGATTAATGGGTACCTTCTTTTTTAATTTTTATTTTTTATTTATTATTATTATACTTTAAGTTTTAGGGTACATATGCGCAATGTGCAGGTTAGTTACATATGTATACATGTGCCATGCTGGTGCGCTGCACCCACTAACTCGTCATCTAGCATTAGGTACATCTCCCAATGCTATCCCTCCCCGCTCCCCCCAACCCACAACAGTCCCCAGAGTGTGATGTTCCCCTTCCTGTGTCCATGTGTTCTCATTGTTCAATTCCCACCTATGAATGAGAATATGTGGTGTTTGGTTTTTTGTTCTTGTGATAGTTTACGGAGAATGATGATTTCCAATTTCATCCATGTCCCTACAAAGGACATGAACTCATCATTTTTATGGCTGCATAGTATTCCATGGTGTATATGTGCCACATTTTCTTAGTCCAGTCTATCATTGTTGGACATTTGGGTTGGTTCCAAGTCTTTGCTATTGTGAATAATGCCGCAATATGCACAAAGAATGGTGTAGTTTTAAGGAGTGTATGATTCCAAAGGAAGAGGACATAACAGTTGTTTAAGAGGGCTACTTAGAGAAACATAAATATGTGGGCTGAATGAGGCCACTTCCTTGTCACAGATGAGCTATCTACAATTCTGTTATTTTACTTAGAAATTTATTAATACAGAACATTGACATAGTCTTTTCCCTTTACTCATCCATAAATGTATTAAGAGTCCATATGTATCTGACATAATCTGTCCAAGGTTATTTCCCTTTTTCCCTTTTTCAAATAACATTTATGCCATACTGCTGACATTAGAAGATCATGATTGATGTTTGTCCCTAAAAAACAGCATTGACATTTACTGAGGAGCGCACATATACCTGGGCTGTAATATCCGTGGGATTTTGCTGGAGCTCATTATTCTGTCAGAAATGGATCAACCTCCAGCTTCTCTTTGCCCTCTGTTGGGCATCCCCAAAAAGCAGAGGAAAATATCAGAGATTCAATCTCTGCTGCCCTATGATTTGTCAAAGATACGAAAATTTACATTGTAACTATATACTTTCATATGATGTTTCATGAAAACATCTGATGCCTTTTGTGGTAAAAACATAATACAATTATAATAACTTTTTTTTATTTTTTGAGACAGAGTCTCACTCTATAACCCAGGCTGGAGTGCAGTGGCATGATCTTGGCTGACTGCAACCTCCGCATCCTAGGTTCAAGCGATTCACCTGCCTCAGCCTCCCGAGTAGCTGGGATTGCAGGGGCCTGCCACCACGCCCAGCTAATTTTTTATGTGTTTTTAGTAGAGATGGGGTTTCACCATGTTGGCCAGGCTGGTCTCAAACTCCTGACCTCAAGTGATCCACCCACCTCGGCCTCCCAAAGTGCAGGGATTACAGGCAGGAGCCTGTAATAATAACTTGAAAAAGAATTGGAAATATCAATTGAGTCCAAAATAAATGTGCCACATTTACTTTTCAACAGAAAATCTACCCTGTTGGCTGCAGGAAGTTGAAGTTCATAGTTGAATATTCGTTTTTCACTATGTAATTTGTGAATGAAATCATATGACAGATTTTCAGAGCTTTGTAACTTCTCTAATGGCTATGTCTAAAATAGTCTAGTTCAACAAATTATAGTACAATGTGCTATCTCTGTTGCTGACTTTATTGGATATATCTTTAGTTATCTCTTTTTTAAAAATTTGAATTATTGACATCAATAATATTCTTGACTACTCTTTTTTTTAATAATCCTCTTTCACCTTTTTAGGCATCATAGTTTTCTACTTTTCATATTGTTTCTCTGACAATGCCTCTCAATCTCTTGTCAAACATCTCTTCTCATATCCTTTAAATGCTAGTGACATTTACATTCTGTTGTCTTATGTGGCTTTGCTATATAAAATTAAGTTTTATTAATTCAAAACAATCAAATGTTGTTTCTAGTCATCTTTCGATGTTCTTATCTCAAGATTAAAATTTCCACCTACAATTTTTATATTTTTATAGTTTTATTGAATGAAAATGAACTAAAGGCATACCTTGGAGATATTGTAGGTTTGGTTCTAAATCACCTCAGTAAAGTGAATATCACAATAAGGTGAGTCACAATTTTTTAAAATTTTCTAAGTGTATATAAAAGTGATGTTTACAGCATGCTGTAGTTTATTACATGTATAGCAACATTATGTCTTTAAAAAGTACCTGCCTTAATTAAAAATACCTTATTGCTAAAAGATGCTGACACAGAGACATGAGGGGAACACATGCTATTGGAAAAGGAATACTGATAGAATTGCTCGAACAGGGTTGCTGTAAACCTTCAATTTATAAATAAATGTAATATCTGTGAAGTACAATAAAGTGAAATGCAATAAAACAAGGTGTGCCTGTATCATCCATCACCTGGAGCACGTTTGGTTCAACGTGTTAGGTAGAAATACAAATTTAGTTTTCTTTTAAATAACTAGGTAGGTAGTGCACAGGCCTTTAGTGGGATATTAAATTTAATATATAATTGGGTATAATCCTGATATGTAGTGGGATCTATTTTGGACTCTCTTCTTTTGTTTATCTGACTGACTATTCACCATTCTTTATTTGCTCTTTTCTTTCAGTCTCTTTTTGCCATAGTAGCTTTGTGGTTAGTGGTTATTGTTGTTGATGTTCTGCTTCAGTCTCTATATCCCACTACATTTTCTTGAGCTTCTCATTATGTCTTTATTATCACAAGGTCAAGACCAGTACAAATCCTATTATCATGTTCTCTCACTGTGCCCTACAGTTCTCCCTTACAGCACTTAACTACCATTGCCATTTCACACGAATTAATGGAACTCTTTCATTAACACCTGTTTTCCTCTTCAGACTCAGTAATATTAGAACTGGAACCGTGACTCTCTTTCTCACCATGATATCCTCAGTGTCTGTTGTACTGCCTGGGACAGTATGGACTCTCAGTAGCTTTGTCGAGCAAATGGTTTAGATCTCTGGGGTTTTTTTTTTCTGAAATGACATTGCAGAATAAGTACTAGGTTAACTGATCAAAGTAAATGAGCTTCCCTATAAGATTTTTTTATATATGTTCAAATGTGACCCTGGTATTAACAATTACTGTGAGCAAGAAAATAATTACTATCTATCTTATTTGGTGGATGAGAACACTAAGTCCAAAGGAACATGGCAGTTAACTACATGACTCAGTATTTAAAACAATGTTATTTGATGTAAAATCAAGTTTTCCTTTATCCCATGCTTGATTACTGTGTTCATAATACCCACTTAATAATTGAAAGTTAATTTTTAGAATTGATCACCATTATCTGGAAAACAGATTGTTTAGAAAGAATATATAATGTATTTATTTATTTCTACAAAAATTATCTATCTCCCTATAGTCACTCCCATCCCCCCGACACACACACTAATATATACATTTTAGAGTATGGTAAATGGGTTGGTTGATATCTCTTTTAATTTTATTAATGCACTGATTTTTAAGTTGTTTTGCTTTGAAATAACAGAGGATTTTAGAGCAGCTATAGATTTACAGAAAATTGAGCAGAAAGTACAGAGGGTTGTAATATTCTTTCTCCCTCATAACTCATCCCATCCCCCTCTTATGTCAGATTCCCATAGTTTTAATAACTTACACTAGTGTGGTACAATGGAAGAATTTTAAAGAAAATTAAAGAATTAATTATAGCACATTATTATTAACTAAAGTTTATATTTAACATTAGGTTGAATCTTCATGTTGTATAGTGGCATGAGTTTTGAAAAATGCATAATGTTGTGTATCCACCATGACAGTTTCACGTGGAATATTTGCACTGCTCTAAAAATCCTTAAATCTCCACCTATTCCTTCCTTCCTTCTTTCAAATCCCTGGTGACTAGCAAACTTTTTACTGTCTGTATAGTTTTGCCTTTTCCAGAATGTGATGTAATTGAAGTCATACAGTATGTAGCCCTTGCAGACTGGCTTCATTCACTAAGCAATATGTATTTAAGTTTCCTTTATGTTTTTTCATGTCTTGATAGCTGAAGATTTTTTATTGCTGAATAATATTTCACTGCATGGATGTGCCACAATTTGTTCATCCATTCACCTCTGAAGAACATCATGGTTGTTTCCAAGTTTTGGAAATTATGAATAAAGCTGTTATAAAGTTTTGTGTATTTTTTTTGGACATACGTTTTCAGTTCATTTGGATAAATACTGTATTAGTCTGTTTTCACACTGCTATAAAGACATACCTGAGACTAGGTAATTTGTAAAGGAAATAATTTTAATTGATTCAGAGTTCCACATGGCTAGGGAGGCCTCAGGAAACTTACAATCATGGCAGAATACAAGAGAGAAGCAAAGAACATCTTACATGGTGGCAGGTGAGAGAGAGAGAGCAAATGAGCGAAGAGGGAAGAGCCTCTTATAAAATCAGATCTCATGAGAACTCACTCACTATCACAACAACAACATGGGAGAAACTGTCCTGGTGAATCAATTACCCCCAACCTGGTCTCTCCTTTGACACATGGGGATTATGGGGATACAATTCAAGATGAGATTTTGGGTGAGGACACAGCCAAGCCATATCAAATACCAACCAACAGCTGAATCATTAGGCAAGACTAGGTTTATGTAAATTAAAAGTGGCTGGACCATTTTGCATTTCTACCAGCAATGAATGAGAATTTTTTTTTTTTTTTTTTTTTTTTGAGACGGAGTCTCTCTCTGTCGCCCAGGCTGGAGTGCAGTGGCGGGATCTCGGCTCACTGCAAGCTCCGCCTCCCGGGTTCACGCCATTCTCCTGCCTCAGCCTCCCAAGTAGCTGGGACTACAGGCGCCCACCACTACGCCCGGCTAATTTTTTGTATTTTTAGTAGAGACGGGGTTTCACCATTTTAGCCGGGATGGTCTCGATCTCCTGACCTCGTGATCCGCCCGCCTCGGCCTCCCAAAGTGCTGGGATTACAGGCGTGAGCCACCGCGCCCGGCCGAATGAGAATTTTTGTTGCTCTACATTCTTATTAACATATAATGTCATCAGTGTTTTAGACTTTAGTTATTCTAATAGGTTTGGAGTGATATCTCATTGTGGTTTTAATTTACAATTCCCTAATTAAGTAGGAAGTCAAGCATTTGTGTTTTCTAATTTGCTAGTTGATATATTATTTGCTGGATGTCTGTTCTGACCTTTTTTCCATTTATAAATTGAGTTTTTGTCTTATTGTCATGTCTTAAGTGTTCTTTGTATATTTTGGATACAAGTCCTCTATTGGATTTGTATTCTATAAATTTTTCTATCACTTTGTGGCTTGTCTTTTAATTTTATGAATAATGACTTTCACAAAGCAGTTTTAAGTTTTTATGAAGTCCAACTTGTCATTTTTTTTCTTTTATGATATTTTTGGTACTGTATCTAAAATTCATCAACAAACCCAATTCTCATAGATATTATGTTATCTTTTACAAGTTGTATTGTTTTGTGTTTTAAGTTTAGCCCTATTATCCATTTTGAGTTAATGTTAATGTTTGTAAATATCTGTGAAAGATTTAAAAATTGTGTCTAGCATTTTTTTTGCATGTGAATGTCTAGTTGTTCCAGCACCTTTTGTTAAAAAGCCTATTCTTTCTTCAATGAATTGCCTTTGCCCCTCTGTCAAAAATCAGTTAACTATATATCTGTGATTTAATTCTGTACCCTTTATTCTGTATTATTGATATATTTACCTATTTTTCCCCATACCATGCTGTCTTGATTACTGTGATTTTACAGTAAGTATTAAAAATGGATAATGCCAGTCCTCCAACTTTGTTATTCTTCTTCGATATAGTATGCATAGGCTATTCTGGATCTTTTGCCTTTTCATATCAACTATAGAATAATTTTGCCAATATATCCACAAAATATCTGGCTGGAATTTTGATTGGGATTGCATTGACCCTCTGTAGATCAAGTTGGGAAGAACTGTCATCTTGACAATATTGCCTTCCTATAAACAAACGTGTATTATCTCTCCATTTATTTCTTCTTTGATTTATTTTATCAGAGTTTTCCAGTTTTACTTATACAGATTTTGCACGTTTTGTTAGATCTTTATTTATGTATTACATGTTTTCAGTGCTAATCTAACAGGCTGTGTTTTCATTTTTAAATTTCAATAAATTGTTGACATAAACTACATGAATGTTGTAATTTAAAAATTTATATCTTTAAAACTTTATATATTGTTTGTTATTTCCCGGAGAACATTTTTATTCTTTTGGACTTTCTACATGAATGAACATGTTATCTGCAAACAGAGGTTTTATTTCTTTCTTTTCGATCTTTATACCTTTTATTTACTTTTTAAAAATTTCTTTCACTAGAACGTCCAGTATAATGTTTAATAAAAGTGGTGAGAGGAGACATTCTTGCCTTGTCTCTGACTTGGGGAATAGCTTGTTGTGTTTCAACATTGAGTATGTTAGCCGTAGTTTTTTTTTTTGGTAGCTATTCTTTATCAAGTAGATTTAATTATGGTGTATAATTCTTTTTTACACATTGTTAAATTCAGTTTGATAATTTTTTTGAGAATCGTTGCATCTATGTTTATGAGATATATTGGTGTGCTTTTTGAAAAATAATTTTTATTGTCTGATTTTTGCTTTTTATGGTAATACTGGCCACACAGAATGAGTTAAAAAAGTATTTTCTCTGCTTCGATTAACTAGAAAACATTGTAGATAAGTATTATTTTTTTCCTTAATGTGTCATATAATTTATCAGTGAAACCATCTGGACCTGAACTTTCTGTTTTGGAAGACTATTCAGCATTGATTTAATATATTTAATAGCTATAACCTATTAGGTTATATATTTTTTCTTGTGTGAGTTGTTGTGGCTTGTGTCTTTAAACAAATTGGTTTATACCATCAAAGTTTTCAAATTTGTGGGCATAGCATTGGGTCCTCTTTCGTCCCTGATATTAGTAATTTGTGTCTTCTTTCTCTCTTTTCATTTTTTTATTAGCCTGCCTTGAGATTAGTCAGTTTAACGTTTTCCAAAAAAAAAGAGTTTTTGTTTGATTGATTTTTCTATAATGATTTCATGTGATTAATTTCACTAATCTTTGCTGTAATTTTTACTATTTCTTTTTTTTGTCTTACTTTGGATTTAATTTGCTCTTTTTCTAATTTCCTACAGAGGAATAATACATTATAATTTTTAGATTGTTCTTCTTCCCAAAAGTATTTATTCAATGTGTTGTTTCCCACTAAGCACTGTTTTTGCTGCATTGAAAAAATTGATTTTTCTTATTCAATTCAAAATATTTTAAAATTTTTTATACTTCTTCTTTGACCTGTGTGGTATTTAGTTGTGTGTTTCAAATTTTAATGTATTTGGTGATTTTCCAGTAATTTTTCTGTTATTGATTTCTTGTTTAATTTCCTTGTGATCTGAGAGCATACTTCGTTTAATTTCTTTCCTTGTAAATTTGTTAAGGTGTGTTTTATGGCCTGGAATATAGTCTGTCTTGATGAATGCTCCCTGTGTGCTTGAGGAGAACGTCAATTCAGTTGTTGTTGGATAAAATATTCCATAAATGTCAATTATATTAATTTGATTGATGTTGCTGGTCATTTTAACTGTAAGCTTACTAATTTTATACTTGCTAAATCTGTCCATTACTAATAAATATGTGTTAAAATTTCTAACTACAGTAGTAGATTTATTTATTTTTTATTGAAGTTCTGTCAGTTTTTTCCTCACATATTTTGACACTGTTAGTCACATAAACAATAAAGATTGTTATATATTTTTGATATATATGAACAATAAAGATTGTTATATCTTTATATATGAGGTTCTTCTAGAACCTCTTCATTATTATGTCATACCCCTCTTTATCCCCAATAATTTCAGCCTGAAGTCTGCTTTTCTCAAATTAATTCAGCTATTCCAGCTTTTTTGTTATTAATGTCAACATAGTATATCTTTATTCCTCTTTTTACTCTTAATCTATCAGTGTTTTCAATTTAAAGTGAATTTCTTGTAGTCAACATGTAGTTTAGAATTTTTGCTTTTTCCACTCTGACAGTGTCTTCTGTAGGTTATTTTAAAGATACTTTTCTTTTATTTTGAGTGATGGCTTTGGTGTTTACAACATACATTTACAACTAATCGAAATCCACTTTTAAATAACATTATTCTCCACCAAAGAGAGTGCAGATACATTATAACAGAGTATTCCCAATTTCTCTTCTCTATCTTCTATATCATTGTTGTAATTCATTTCATTTATCCTTTAATTATGATCACCAATGCAAATTATTATCTGTTATATCAGTTAAGAAGAATCAAAATTAGATATTTTATTCTATCCTTAATTATTTTTTTCTCATAAACTTTTCTTTTCTTTTTTTTGTTTTTAATCTGAGTTTCTGACCTATATCAGTTTCCTTCTCTCTGAATAACTCCTTTCAAGATTTCTTGCTTGGCAGATTCACTGATGACGAACTTTTTTTTTTTTTTTTTTTTTTTTTGCCTGAGAAAGTCTTTATTTCTCCTTTATTTCTGAGGGAAAATTTCACTGGACACACAGTTCTTGGTTGCTAGGTTTTTTTTTAACACTTTTAATATTTTATTTTCCTCTCCTCTTGTTTACACAGTTTCTGATAAGTCCAATGTAATTCTTATCCTTGTTCCTCTACAGGTAAAGTATGGCTTCTTTAATTTTTTTATTTATGTCTTTGATTTTCTGTAATCAGAGTATTATATCCCAAGATTCAATTTTTTTGTTATTTATCCCACTTGGTTTGTTTTGAGCTTCTTGGGTCAGTGGTTTGGTAATTGTCATTCTGAGCCAATTTTACTTCAAATCTTTCCTGGTCTTTTTCTTCTTCATTTTAAATATTCTCATTATATGTATGTTACACTTTGTAGTTACTTCTCTTTCTAGATATTCTGGTTTCTATTTTTTTTCTTTTTTTTCTCTTTGTTTTTAGTTAGAGAAGTTTTTATTGATGTATCTTCCAGCTCACTGATTTTTTTCTTCAGCCATGTCCAGTCTACTGATGATACCATCAAATACAGTATTCATTCTGCTTCATCCTCTTTGACTTTTATGATTTTCTTTTGATTCTTTCTTAGAGCATTAATATCTTTGATTACATTACCTGTCTTTTATTTTCATGTTGTCAACTTTTTTTATTAGAGCCTATTAGAGCCTCTTTCTCTATTAGTCAGGTCTCTCCAGAGGGATAGAGCCAGTAGAATGCATATTAGGAAGAATTGGCTTATACTATAACAAAAGTAAAGGAGTAGGGAGTTTATTAGGAAGAATTGGCTCACACTATTACAAAAGTAAAGTCCCACAATAGACTGTCTGCAAGCTGGGGCATGACAAAGCCCGATATCGTGGCTCAGTCCAAGTCTGATAGCCTCAAAACCAGGGGAGCCCACACTACAGGCCACATTCTGAGGTCAAAGGCTTGAGAGACCCTGGGAGGTCACTGGGGCAAATTTCAGAGGCCACAGGCTAAAGAACCTGGAGTCTGATGTCCAATGACAAAAGGAGAAAAAGTGTCCCCTTTCAGAAGGGAGAGAGAAAGCTCAGCAAACTGAATATCCTCCTTCCTCCACTTGCTTTGTTCTAGCATTTCCAGCAGCTGATTCCATAGTACCTGCTACTGAAAGCAGGTCTTCCCCTCCAGTCCACTGACATACATGTCAGTCTCCTCTGGAAGCACCCTTATAGCCACAGCCAGAAACAATTCTTCACCAGTCATCTAAGCATCCCTCAATCCAGTCAAGTTGATGCCTAATATTAACCATCATAGATCCCTTACCATCTGTGAGTCTGGTTCTGTTGCTTGCTTTGTCTCTTCAAACTATTTTTTCCCCCTTTTAGAATGTCTTGTAATTTTTATGTTGAAAGCTTGACATGATTATCTAGTAAATGAAACTGAGCCAAACAGGCCTTTAGTGTAACAGTTTGTGTTATCTGGCTAGGAGTTGAGCTATGTCCTCTATAGTGGTAGATGTTAGGGACTAAAATGTCCACTAGTGCCTTTGTTTCATTTTCTCCTATTACCTTGGGGTTTTCCTGATTTTTTAAAAAAATAAGGACTGAGCATTGAGGTTCGTTTAGAGGTAATCCACTATTACTATACAGGAACCCGATTGTTGTGGTGGTAACGTGGAGATAGAAAACATTTTATATACTCATGTGATTGTGTTTCAGTTTTTAGTGAGCCTGTGATCCTAGGCTGTGTTTTTTACAAGTGCTTCTCCCCTTTTCCCAGACTTCGGTGAGACAGGAAGGCTAGGAGAGGCTGGAGTTGAGTACTCCTGTCCCCCAGGTTGGTTAAAGAAATTTTTCTCAGATACTCGCCCTGAGAACCTGGTCGAGTTCCTAGAGGTAAATCTCACAAAAGTGTGGGGGCCCTCTTAAGGCTGGAACCATATGGTTATTAGTTCTCAAGCTAGTCCACACTGAGGGTCCAAAAGTTAGTCAATTATTGTGTAAATATTTCTACGTGTATTAGTCCCAGTTGTGGGTTTCCGCTCCTATTAAGCTGAGATTCTTGGCCTGATGCTGTCTCCAGTTTTCAGAGAGCAGTTTGACCTGTTACCTCATTTCTCTGATTGATCTAACAAGAGTTGATTTTCAGCATGGTCAGCTTTTATCTTGTGATAAAGAAATGAAAACTTCCAAGCTATTTACATGTTTGACCTGCAACCAGAAATCACTTTTTGTCTTATGTTTTTTAACAGTTTTCTCTGATACTGTTCTATATTTGTTTTAACTTAGTCAGTCCTGAATTCTGAATGACCAAAGTCATTTACTATTCTGAACTCAATCATTGTTTGTACCCTTTATATCTTATTAATTTTTGAAAATTTGTAAGAAATTACATCAAGATTTTTTCTAATTTGAAATTCTTAACCTAAAATTTCACAGCTTTCTTGGCGTATTTCCTTACACAGCTAAATTTTCCTTTCTCACTACAAAATATATTTAAATTTAAAAAGTATAATTAAACTTGCCCAAAATAAGCATTTTTCTTAATTCATCAGTAAAATTATTTTTTTAAGGTAGAGCCTTCTACACACTTAGAACATGAATGTAAATAGTCTTGTATTTTGGTGGAAGTCCCAGTGATCAGTAAAATGATCAAAAAATAATTCAGAAGAAACCACAGTGCTTTGTTAACCCACAATTTGGACAATCATAATGAAATGCACTAGGAATTAAATGCTTATTTTAAACAAGACCAATCAATACATTATGAGAAAATGCCTTTGAGTATTTTATGTAATCTGTGCTATACTATGTTGGTGACATCAAAGTAAAATGGTCTTACAATTTATACATCTGTGAAACTAAATGCAGCTCTAAATGACCCTGTTAGTAACTGTGTCTTCCTGAATTGTCACTGAAATTTAAAAGGTTCTCTTCCTCACTTATTGTCCCATGTCAGCTCTCGTCTAATTAGTAGATGCTGCTTGACGTGTACTATTTGCATTTTACTGACTTAGCACATTTTTATATGTAGGATGTCCAGTTTTCTCTATTGCCTGAGGCTAATATTGATACATTGTGTCTTACTAATTGGGTGCATCCAAACTAACTTTAGTTAAAACCTATTATAAAAGTTCATAACAGATGACACATTTTCCTGATAGCTTTAATATCAAATTGTATTTTCCTAGATTATTCAATCCATCTTATAATAGAAATTTGAAATATTATTGGCCTTCCTAGTGAAAAGGCAATATTAAAAATATGCTTTTTCAAATATGAGTGGTGGACTCTAAAAGCAAGTTTTCCCTTTTGAATTTGAAAATCTTCGATTCATGATTTCATTACTGGAACACTTATTTTTTTGGAGCTCTGTAAGAAAAGGTATAAAAATGCTTCTTGTATTAATTATTTTTATTTGTGATTGACGTACAAATTGTATGTATTTCTGGGGTCCACCGTGAAGTTTCAGTGTATGCATACACTGTATGATGATCAAGTGATGGTATTTGTCATATCCATCACTTTAAACATCTATCATCTCTCTGTGGTAATCAAATTACATATATGCTCTTCTGAATTGAAATATACAATACATTGTATTTGCTAAAATCAGCCTACTACATATGCAGTGTTTTCATATGCTCATGCAGTGTTTGTCTTCTTGTGACTGGCTTATTTCACTTAAAATAATGTCTTCCAAGTTTATCTATTTTGCTTCAAATGACTGGATTTTATTCTGTTTTATACTAGATAAAATGGACATTAAGTTAAAGATGATAAAATATTAAAAAAAGTCTTTACATAATGATAAAAGAGCCAATACAGCAAGGTGATAGAACAATTGTAAACATACTTGAATTTCATACTGGAACATCTAAATATATAAAACAAATTTTAAAAGACCTAAAGGGAGAGTTTAACTTCAATACAATAATAATAAGGAGCATCAACACCCCACTTTTAGCAATGGAAAGATTAGCTTGACAGAAAATTAACAAATGTTGGAGTTAAACTGGACTTTAGACCAAGTGGACCTCACAAACATTTACAGAACATTCCACCCAACAGCTGCAGAATACACATTTTCTCAACAGCACATTGAACCAACTCTAGGAAAGACCATATGTTAGGCCACAAAACAAGTCGTAATACATTTTAAAAATAAAAGTCATAGCAAGCCTGACCAAAAAGGAATGTAACTAGAAATTAATAAGATTAATTTGGGAAACTATACAAATACATGGACGTGAAACAACATTTTCATGAACAACCAATGGATCAATAAACAAATTTACAAAGTATATGTAAAAAAATTATTTTAGACAAATGAAAATGGAAACACAACATAATAGAGTCTATGAGATACAGAAAAAGCAGTTCTAAGAAGAACGTTTATAGCAATAAATGCCTGCATCAAAAAAGTAGAAAGATCTCAAATAAATAACCTAACATTATGGGACTAGAAAAACAAGAACAATCTAAACTCACAAATAGGTAAAAGGAAAAAAAACAAAGATGAGATCAGAAATAAATGAGCTATAGACTAGAAACAATACAAAAGAACGAAGTAACAGAAATTGTTTTTTTGAAAAGACATACAGAATAAGCAAATCTTTAGCTAGACTGATTGAGATAAAAGAGAAAACACAAATAAAATCCGAGAAGGAAAAAGGAGACATTACAACTGATATCAAAGATTACAATGAAATACTTTTATTTAGTTAGTATTTTGAAATCCTCTCATATTGGTTTTAATTATATTGGAACACAGCTTGTGAGGAATTGACAAAAACAAAAACAAATAACTATAAAACAAAACAGTCACTTTAATATCTTTTTTCTGGATGCCTGTTCATCAAAGATTGATTCCTCCAAACATATTACTTTCTGGAGCTCAACAGAGGTGTGCTTCTGTATTACATATTGCCTGTATTATATCATTTAGCTCTAAGTTATTCTTCACATGTTGTGGAAGTCTCTTTGCAGTTACTGAAACGTTTTTTGACAGCTTTAAAAACTAAAAATATCACAAATAAGTAAAAATATATTTGTAAAATAAACAGAATTTGGCTTTTTCAGCATTTAAGGATGCAGAAATGTATTTCTCATTTACCATATCTTATAGTTTTTTTTGTTATTTTCTTATGGTTTTCTGTTTTTGTATGTTGTACTTTATTCAGAAAGTAAGTACTTATTTAAAATAAATGAGGCAACATTAGGGAGTATAATTTTTGTGCAACTTGTTTTCCCTCTACATCATGGTTAATTATCTTTTTGCATATGTCCTCCATGGAAATGTACTCTTTTTGATTTCACCATGTTTTAGAAAACAAAGGCGAACAAGATATTTAAAAGATAAATAATCTTAAACCATCAAAACATTAAATGGAAATACTCTATATCAATGCAATATTTTAAATGATAGGTTTTAGTAATTAAACATTTTTCAACACAAAATATCTTAAAAACCCGTTTGCCATTATTTAAACTTAGTATTCAGATAAAAAGGATGAAACAAATGTCAAACTGAATTTGGTCATTTGGTTATATTATATGATATTCTCCTCTTTAAACGAAGAGAAAAGAATAACTCCGTCTGTGCTACACCTAAATTTTGGCATGCATTAATTTAAAATATCTCAGAAAGAGAAAAGATTATTTTGATTGATTAAGCTTTCCTCTCCTAGTAAGATACAGGAATTGACTTAGTATTTATTATTTCATCATCTCTCTCACTTAATCCCGTAAAAAAAGTAACCAGTTGGGAAAAAGCTCTCCTTCCTGATGTGTTATAATTGAGGAAGAAAGTGACTGTGAATTATTGGAAGAAAGGGAACTTTATTACAATTGTGTGTCCTGGCCACAGACCAGTGCCACTAGGTATGGTGTGTTACATTTATCCTCTTTTAATAATACACTGAAATGCAACACAATTACTTTTGCTCTCTCTAGAGCAGGAATGAGCTAAATTCATTCATAAACAATTAAATGAATTTAATTTAAATTCATTTTCAAGCATGTCCATGCCAAGGTGAGTGGCGTTTGGACTGTGAGTGTGCTACTTTGGTGTGGAGGAGTGGTCCTGGCCTTCCCACTTAAAAATACCCAAATAACTCTCTTCTGGTTCATTTTATTGCCTATATAAAATGTACTTAATAGAGTAAAAACATAAAAGAAGGATAGTATGAAATAAAATGAGCTGTCTTTAAATTACTTCTCAGTTCATGAACGATTCCACAATAATATTTTAATTTCTGTGTTCATCATCAAGCTCCCATTTTATTCGTTTACTAGAGTGGCAGAATGATCAAGAACATGAGCTCTAAAGCCAAATTGCCTTTGTCCTCACCCTTCATTTGTTTTCTATTGAACTGTAGTGGGAATCAAATGGATTGATACAAGTAACAGACAGGGAGCAGCTACTGGCACACAGCACAGTGTTAAAATACATAGCTTGTATTCTTTTCATTATTTTATTATTTTAAACACACAGTATTTAAAATACATAGTTTTTATTCTTGTTTAATTTAATGGGATTCGTTGTAAAGCTCTGAGATAGGAATTTCATAATATGTGGTAAATATATGCAAAGCCAACTTCAACAATAACAAAGATAAATGTATAAAAAGGTAGATATCTGTCACTCAAAAGCAGATTTAACATGAGAAAAAAAGCAAAAGGAAATGTATAATGTACTATTTGAACTGTTTTTGATGTTATTACAAAATAGTAATTATGATATACTATTCTGTATCCCCTCAGCTGAATTATATTAAAATTGGATCATTCTGTCTAAAAGAGAGTTGTCTTTTTGGCAAAAGGGATTTATGATATTGATTAAGTTACTATACATTTATTTTCTAGGCTGTTTATAACAGTTCTCTCATTCCCGCTCTGCTGCAATCTGTGTAGCAGCAGTTGGGAAATACCCCCCAGTCTAATGATTCTGCCAATTTCCTTTTCCATTTTGTTTCAATTACACATAACTCAAATTCAGTTCCTGCCTATATTCCCATATTTTTATTTCACATTCTATTCAACCTGTTGAAACGTTACTATTATTTGTGACCTGTGCCTTTTTCACTCTCGGTTACTAAACTTGACTTTATCCATGACACATGTCTGCTCCATTCTTAGTTTCCCAAAGAACTAACTAAAGGTGACATGTTAGGAAAAGTCTTTTTATTTTTATGTTTTATGTTTTATTTTTGTTTTGTTTTATTTTGTTTTATTTTATTTTATTTTATTTTATTTTATTTTATTTTATGAGACAGAGTCTCACTCTGCCGCCCAGGATGAAGTGCAGTGGCTCGATCTCGGCTCACTGTAACCTCCACCTCCTGGGTTCAAGCGATTCTTCTATCTCAGCCTCCCGAGTAGCTGGAATTACAGGCATGCACCAGCACACCCGGCTAAGTTTTGTATTTTTAGTAGAGATGGGGTTTCATCATGTTGGCCAAGCTAGTCTCAAACTCCTGACCTCAGGTGATCTGCCCGTCTCAGCCTCCCAAAGTACTGAGATTACAGGTGTGAGCCACTGTGCCCGACTGGAAAAGTCCTTTAATTGTTATTATTACAAATGATATCTGCCAGTAAGCAGTCCAACTATTGCATATGTATATCATTTAATCCTCAAAATAAATCTATAAAATAAATATTATATTTGTTCTAATATTACAACAAAGACTCTGAGCCACAGAGAGATTAAAGAATTTGACTAGGGCAATATAGCTTTATTATAATTGGCAATACATTGTAGTGTGTCCATATATTAGGAATACTGATAGAGAAATGCTATTATTTTATGATAAATGAGAAGTTCATTTAGCAAATGTTTACTGAAACCTTTTGCTCTAAATATGTTTAGTTTTTAAGAGATCGTACAAATTAATTAATTTAGTTATATTCTATTCTAATTAAATTCTGGCTAACCTGTCATAAATTAATTTCTAGTAGGCTGGCAAGAAATTAACTAGAATAGGGTAATGGAAAACTGTTGAACAATAACAACGACAACAGAAAGGAATAGTATGATTGAGTTCAAAGGGAAAGGAGTCACATATGACATAAATTGGAATAAAGAAGGTAGGAGTTTGTGATTGTACTGATGTACAACCGGGCCACAGAGAAGGTAAGGACTGTGTGCCTATTTGAAATCTGGTCTTTGATATATAGTCATCAGTGAAACCATTGTATAGAATTAAGTTTTTTTCCCTAAAGTTCAATTCTTCCTCCTAAATGAAGTTAACCTGCAGTCAGAGATAGAGGTTAAGAAAAAGGAAAAATTGAAAAACAGTCTTTCTTCTGGATTTTCTTTTAAAGGCAGGGGATGTCTCCAACATTACAAAATTCTGAATCACATACACAAAGATATGGTTGCTAGTAATTAATTGTACGTAAACTCCAGAAATCTTTCAATGGGAGAGAAGATGCAGGCTGAGAGTATTAAATCTGCCAATAATTTACATAGCTTCTTGGAAAGAATGTAATTAGAATAAAATTTTGCAGCTAAATAGAAAGCTGTTACACCAAGAAATATTAATTAAAATAGTGGCAATCTATCTTAAGAGACATTTTTTGAATTAGCTACTGAATTAAGAGTTTAAAATACAACAAAGTGGTGTATATATATATATATATATATATATATATAAATACACACACATATATATTTGATAACAAGTATTTATTAGTATTTATTTGCTTTTCAGTTATATCACAGAAGTTATTCTTTCTCTGTCTCTAAATCTGTCTATCTAGAGAGAATAACTTATGTGATGTAACTGAAAAGAAAATAAATTCTAATAAAGTGATACTATATTGTGGTTCTGCTTGTGGCAAAATTGGAGCAGACATAGGCACAAGTCAATTTAGATCAGTATGACATGATTCCCCTCTTAGTGGAACAAGCCAGTATAAAGAATATTGCAGCTGAGATGAGAGATTACAGGGTTAAGTAAATCAGTGTTCCTCCTAGCCATGCAGGAAAAGTTAAGATTTGACTAAGCATAAGTTTTTAATAAGCCCTGAGGTGAGCTTTAACTTCATGTTGAACTCTAGAAAGAGGTTCAAGTGTATAATTATTAGATGTTCAGAAATGTTGCCAATGGCATTAAGGGCCCAATTATGCTGTTGGGCAGTTTCTTATTTGCTGCTAACTTATCTAAAAGTTCACCTATTTTAGCTCTAACATGCTTTTATCATTTTGTCCATTGTGAGGTTTGGGGAAAAACAAACGAAAACAACGACCAGAATGTGTATGCGTGCCTCTGTGTGTGTGTGTGTCTGTATGTGTGTGTGTACATCTGCATTCCTCTGTGTGTCTGTGTGTGTGTGTGTGTGTACACATCTGTGTGTGCTTGTACAATTGGTTCTGAGTACATTTTCCTAACTCAGAATCTTAGATTGATTTTACGTAACCAACGATTCATTTGGAGTCCTCTTGGATCCTAGCAATATTAAAATATAAATGCTTCAGACATAACTGAATATGCATTTTTCAGATTTCCAAAGATACTATGTTTCATTTGGTTCTGAACTAGTCCCAGAGTAAATGCACTTGCATTCTCTCACACAAAGTTGTAATACTAAAATGCATAGAGTGAAACATCTGACTTAACACAGCCCTGCCTTTTACTTTCCCACAGATATAGTTTCATACATAGACAAAACTTATAGTCACTTATGTGTTATAATTTATAGATTCCCAAAACATCTCACATTAAAATATACAGTACTGTCCAATGGATTTTCAAGATGCCTAAAATTTATGTGATTATTATTGTTTTTCTAAGTTTGAAAAATGTAAAATATCATCTATGCCACTACCATTTCCATCCTATCAAGCACAGTGTTTTGAATATCTTAAACAAATAGTATAAATGTGCTGACTGAATGAAAATATTATATATTTTAGTTCCTAAACCCAGCACTTTATGTCTCTGTCAACTGTGTATTCCATAATTTCATCTCAGTCATTGGTAAAAATGTACAAATGTGAATCCCCAATGCATTAGAACAGATTGTTGTGTCAAGAGAAGATCAAGTTGAAATTTTAAGACAAATGTTCTCTCTCATTTTGGGTGGGAGAAAAGACTAGACAAATCTAGAAATTGGCTGTTATGGAAGAACTGGACCAAATATAGGGCCCTAAGAAGTCAAGAGTGGGGAGTGGAAGGGACCTTGAGAAATTTTTTTTCATTTTTACTTATTGTCAGTGATGTATTTCTACATCTCATGCAAAATGTGAAAATGTATGACTTAGGAGACACCATGAACCAAGTCGTCTCCTATGATATAGTTAATATTATTTATATAGACTTGTTGGCATGTAAACAAACCCATTGATAAACAGTTCCAAGTACTATAGATCATCAATTACTTTTGACTGACAGGTTACTATTTTCCTTAAGATCTGTGAAAATATGAGTGGAAATTTCCTCCCAGAAGGAAGCTATCCAATAGGTAGCTGTATTTCCACTTACTTTACTGTTTGTTTTTATCCTTGAAATGCATTACTTTTGCTAATATAAATATCATTCTGTAAACTGACACTTTCATGCAGGCTTTTTAAATGTGCTGAATTTATAACTATTATTAGTGGAAGACAATACATAATTATCCAACTTCATACTACAACACATTCTGAAAGCTTTCGGAAAGATTGGAACATATTCAAATTACAGTTTACATCAACATAAGTCAACCATTCATGTATTTTCATTCTAGCTTAAAGCAAGCTGGCAGACCTAGCAGGAACCTTACTCCAAGTCACAAACAACTTAATTTGCAGGCCAAAGAAAATCTCTATATCAGTAGGGAACTCTGTTGCAATGACTTGGCATGGTTAACTAAATTCACAAGAGAAAATATGTACAAAGGTTTAAAGATTACATTCAAATGAAATTTTTTGTGCCAGTTGAATCGGATCATTACACTAGAACTGAGACACAATAAGTATTTTCAAATTAACCTAACCGTATTACAGATTCAAATAAAGTATCACATTACCACAGCCCAATATTCCTCCAGTCACTACTTAATGTTTAATTTCTAATTTCTCCTGTGGGTTTTCAATGTTCTACCTAATGTACTGTTCTTCCTTCACTAATATTAAACTTGGTTAAGAGATTCGCTAATAGTGATTCAGTTAGTTCCAGTTAAATTGATTTAAATAAAATATAAATGCTGTGACATAGAAAATAATGTAATTGATACTTAGAAAAATAAAAATGTATACAAATTGCTAATACAAGAAAAATGATATGATATAGTTTGGGGTCTGCTCATGATCAATTTTATGGTATTTGGGAATCATCAAATTTAGCTGAGTTTATTTATGTATTTGGAAAATTAGGAAGAATGGGCTTGCTACTCAAGTATTGTCCTTAGATCAGTAATATTATCATTTGGAATTGTGACAGGAAGATTATCTTAGATCCTCTACTCCAGGCCTACTGAGTCAGATCTGCATTTAAACAAAATATCAGGTGAGCTGACTGTTCATTGACTTTTGAGAAAATCTTGACCTAGAAGGCTTCAATCACTTTTATTTTTATCACTTTTATCTGTTTCTCTGTCTCTTGGTCCCAATCACAGGTCTTATCTGAAAAGTAGAATAATTATCATAGCTGGGGTTTCTTCTAATAAAAACAATGATAAATGTAAGTTCTATTTATTGCCCTTTTATGAAGTTGTCTGTAGAAGACAGAATAATAACAAACAATTAATGTATTTCCATTATAACATTAAAATGGCTTTAAAATTTGGAAATTTGGTCAGTACTTATTTCAACTAGTTATAATTTGATATGCATTATATAAAGATCTGATAACTATTTCTAGGAACATACTTTTTCTTTATAGCATTCTAATTTTGCAGCATGGAATATGTGGCAAATAGGAAGTAGGATATACTTTATTAATTATTATTTAACAATTAATTTTGCACAAATTGGTTGAAAAATACATAAATATAAATGTTAAATACACAAATTAAATAATTAAACTAGAATATAGTGGTTCTATCATTGCAGTGATTCTTGTTTACTTTTCTGTAACTACTTACAGATGAACATACACTGACACTCACATTCCTATGTATATATGGTCACTTAATATTTAGCCTACAAATTAAATTCAAATTTATATTTTCTGTTTCCCAATCATATATTTGAAAATGGTACACATGACACAAATTCTTAAGGACATTAAAAAATCTCATATTAAGAACAAAGCTTTATGTTAATTTTATATTTCACATATGCTAATAATATTTATTTTTCTTGTTTAAATATATATTCAGATATCACAAAGAATATTTTTCTTATATAACTTTCCAGGCTATTCAGCAATTCTTAATTATAAGAACTGAGTATTAAAATAGCTTTACTTATTAAAGATATTTTAACATCTTTAATGGGTTCAATGCTGTTTCTTTTTTTTAATTTTAAAATTATCTACAAAGTAAACTTTTGCCCATGTGGAGAATTACCTGGGAATAGATAACATGATGCATATTTAGTTTTAAATGGGTGTTGTTGACATTTGTAACAGAAAATATCAAATGCGGTAACACTATCTTGAATTATTCTGAATTATCAATCATCCATGCCAATTAGGTAATGACTTCCTATTAAGATTAATGGAAATTGAATGTAAATCTCCATGAATAAAACTCAGGCTATACAAATATCCCAATTACTTAGGGCTTAAGTGTCTGTGATACTCCTCCTTTAAAGAAGGCAAACGTGTTTACTAGAAGCCCTTGGCTAATAATAAAGCAAATTTTAAAGTAGTGCTTAATGGATATGGTCAGAAAAAAAGTCCTGAATTCAGGAAAACAAGCTAGTTGTTAGACTTTAAAGCTTCTGGAATCAGTGTTGCATCCTGCCATCCCTAGAAGGTCACATTTTAACTGAGTGTGTTTTAGCAAAATCATCCTGTAGAGGAAATGATTGGTAGTAGTTCAGAAAAAAAAATGTATTATAGTTCTCACATTCAAAATAATTTCTTAAGAAAAAGATGGTATAAATTCTGATTTCCTATTTTCCCTTTATTTACTTCTCTGTCCTCCAACTTTTCACCTGAATCCCTGGATTTTCTTAGATTCTCTAGGCTGTATGCATCTCTTCCCTTCAACCTGCCCACCCAGTTCTTCATCAACTCTTCCGTTTCCTCTATTTAAATCATTCCTAGAGTTACATAAAAACTCAACTATTTTATTCTTAAATAAATATTTCTATTTATTTATATAAGTTTTGATTGTCTCTCGTGTGAGCTTAAGGAATGAGTCTTTATGTTCTAGTTTCTACTCACTCTAAAATATGTCCCACAAGCTAGCCAGTTTTCCTGCCAAAACTAATATTTGATTATATTGCTCCCCTTACCAGCCTTTAGACCTTTTCTAATACAAACTCTTTTATATCACATTCAGGACTTTCCACAATCTGGTAGCAATCTCCACTTCCAGACTTCAATGAAAATGTCTTCTTTATGTTCTAATCTCAGCAAAAGCTGATCGTTCTCTTGAGTAAGAAATGCATTTATAAGCTTCAATTTTTTTCCTTAGTTTCCCTCTGCTTACTTCTATTGCCACCAACTTTGTTTGAAAGCACTAATTAATTGTACTTTGTTGGAAGCTTTTCATTTCATTTCATTGTTCATTTATTTATTTGATCATCAAGCACCTACCACAAAATAGCCACTCAAATTATGTGTTTTCAATTAATGAAAGACTGCAGATTATAATTTGTAGATAATTTCTTAGTCTGATTAAAATATATATGACATCTGGTTCCAAAATTGTGGCATAGAAGCAGGCTGGCCTCAGTCCCTCCCACAAAAAACCAAAACCAAATATACCGCACTGAGATTATAACAAGCAATATTTCAGAACTCACATATGAAGCTGAGACAGTTCCACCGAGAAGTGGAAAAATTTCCAAGCAGATGGTAAGTTAGTTACACTTTCACACCCATAATGCCTTCCCACAGTCTCCCTGGCATCAAGTGCCTAAAAATTTTCCCCAAACTCACAATTCGTACATTGGAAAAAATGAGAATGAAGTGGACAACCAGCTTCCCCATCATCTTGGATTCCCTGGTAGAGGATTTGTCCCTGACTTAACCTTTGGAAAGCATCAGAATTGTCTGAAGGATGAAATATCCCTGAGGGCAGGAGGAGACAAAGTGGGGAGGTAGAACTATTATCCTCAGCCCAAGAAACTATGCTCTGTAAGTTGGCCAAAAGTGTCAGCAAATCAGAGTGGCCATTTAGCAGCAGCATGCTGTAGGTTTGTTTCACAGGTCACTTATGCACAAACCTCCAGCCAGCCTTCTCAAGCTGCCAGGATATCCTCTTTGAAACAATGTGCTGCCTTTCAAGAAGGGCAGCACGTTGATTAACTACTATATCTGAGGTGAACCTTGGCTTAAGGTGCCAGCTAGAGCCATAAAGAAAGCAGTCACCTAGTAGTTAAAAAAAAAAACCCTCTAAACAAATATATCTAATAAGTACCCAAATAAGTAAGACAGAGAATACTGGAATAAATAACTAATACTTTAATGAAAATACATAGACATACATTCACAAGAAACAACAGCTTACAAGGAACCATAATATCCTCAAATGGGCAGGGCAAGGAACAAGTAATTGATCCTAATGAAACAGCAAATATGAGCTCACTCACCAAAAATTTAGAATAAAAATTTTCAAGAAACTCAGTCTTCTCTAAGATAACAAAGAAAAGCAATTCAATAATTTATTAGAGAAATTTGGCAAGAAGATTTAAATACTAAAAAAAAAACCTCAGAAATCTTGGAACTGAGAAATACATTTGCTGAAATTGAAAGTTTATTAGAGACTCTCAACAACAGAAGGGATCAAACACAGGAAAGAATCAGTGATCTTGATGACTGACTATTTAAAAATACACAGAGGGAAATAAAAAAATAGAAAGGGATGAAGATAGAAGATCTACAATATATAGAAAATTACCTCAAATAACCAAATTTAAGAAAAACTGGTGTTCAAGAAAGAGTTGAGCAAAAGCAAGGCAGAAAGCTTTTTCAAAAATATAATGATAGAAAATTTTCCCAAACATGAGAAATATGTAAGCATCCAGGTGTAAGAAGGTCAGAGAAAACCACACAGATATGAAGTGACTCCAAGGCCCATACTAATCAAACTCTCAAATGTCAAGGAAAAGAAAAGGTCCTATAAGCAGCAAGAGAAAAGAAACAAATAACAAATAAAGGAACTCCAGTTCATCTGGCAACAGACTTCTCAACAGAACCATCCATACAGACCAAGAGGGAATGCAAAAACATTTTTCAAAGCGATGAGAGAAAAATATTTTGTTATATCTATATTTTGTTACAAGCCTCATGTTAACCACAACACAAAAGCCTATTATGAATTCATTCAAATAAAAAGCAATGAATTGAAACATATTATCAGAAAGATATCAATTAACCCATTAGAAGACAATAGAAGAGAGTAATTACAAAACAACCATAAAACAAGAAACAGAAAAAAATCCTGTCTTATCAACAAAAATGCCCACTGCAAATTGATTCAATTATCTAATTAAAAAGCATAGAAAAGTTGAATAGATTAAAAATAAATTAAGAGCTAACTACATGCTGCCTATATTAAACCAACTCAACCTTTAAAGGCTCACATAGACAGAAGGTATAGTGGTGTAAAAAGATATCCCATACAACTGAAAATTAAAAAAAGAACAGGAGTAACTATATTTATTATATTAGATAAAGTAGACTACAAATTAAAGACTGTAATAAAAGACAAAGAATGTCATCATATAATTATGAAGGGGTCAGTTCAGCAAGAGGATAGAACAATTATAAATAGCTATGCAACCAACACTGGAACTCTCAAGTATACAAAGAAAATAGATTTAATGATAAAATAATAAAACATATAATCTAAAAAGATATTAGATTATAAAATATAAATTAAAGATATTAAAATAGATCTAATGATAAAATGTTAAAATGGATCTAATCTAAAATGAATAGATCTAATGGGAGAGAGATTTCAAACAATAACAGTAGTGAACTTTAACACTCTCGATAATGGGCAGATCATCCAGACAAGAAATCAAAAAAGAAGCTAATCAGAGGTAACTGTACACTAGACCTAGTAAACCTAACACAGAACATTTCACCCCGCTGCTACAGATAAATTGATAAATTCAGTAGCAAAAAATATACACATGTACAAAAATCAGTAGCATTTATATATGACTGAAGTCAATAATCTAAAAAAGACATCAAGAAGTACATTCTTTGCACTAGCACATGAAATATTCTCCAAAACAGACCATAGATTATGCTGCTAGATATCAATAACAAGAGGAACCTCAGAAACTTCACAAACATATGGAAATTAAACAACACACTTTTTTTTTTTTTTTGGAGACAGAATCTTGCTCTGTCACCAGGCTGGAGTGCAGTGGGCATGACCTCGGCTCACTGCAACCTCCTCTGCCTCCAGGGTTCAAGCGATTCTCCTGCCTCAGCCTCCCACGTAGCTGGGATTACAGGCACACGCTAGCATGCCCAGCTAATTTCTGTATTTTTACTAGAGATGGGGTTTCACCATGTTGGCCAGGATGTTCTCGATCTCTGATCTCTTGCCCTTGTGATCTGCCCGCCTCGGCCTCCCAAAGTGTTGGGATTACAGGCGTGAGCCATCATGCCTGGTCATAACACACTTTTAAATGACCAATGGGGTCAATGCAGAAATTAAGAAATAAATTTAAAAGTTTCCTGAAAAAAATGCAAAAGAATATAACACACTGAAATCTATTCAATATGTCAAAAGCAATATTAAGAGAGAGGTTAACAGCAATAAACACTAATATCAAAAAATAAACTTCAAATATACAATCTGATGATGCACCTTAAGGAATTAGAAAAGAAATAACAATTTAAATGTAAAATTATTAGAAGAAAGGATATAATAAAGTTCAGACACATATACCCATGTAACAAACCTGCTCCTGTACCCTATGAAGCTAAAATAAAAGTTGAAATTAAAGAACACATTTACAACCCACAAAAATTAAAAATATTGTAAAATTTACAAAGCACTTGCCACTTTTAACCTACTATTAATAACTAAATTTCTTTGTGAAGTTAGTTAGAATTAGCCTTCTGATGAATATTTTGATTTATTTTTATAATTCTTGCATTGCCTAAAACAACACATAAATTGTGCTAAGGGCTCAATATATATCTTCTGAATGGCTGAATAAAATGATCAAAGCAAAAATAAATAAAAGTGAGACTACAAATTCCAGAAGATAAGCAAAACAAATATGGTTTCTTTGAAAAAATAAAAAAAATTAACAAACCTTCAGTTAGACTAAAAAAAAAGGAAGGACCCAAAAAAATAACATCTGAGTTGAAAAAGAAGATATAAAAACAGACATACAAAGAATCACTACAGATTATTAGAAGCATTTGATCATAATACACCAACTAATTGGAACACTTAGAGGAATTGTGTACATTTCTGGACACATATAACCTACAGATATTGATCCATGAAGAAATGGAAAACCTTGATAAACCCATAACAAGTAGTGATACAGAAGCAGTAATAAAAAGTCTTCCATCAAAGAAAAGCCCAGGATCTGAAGGCTTCACTTCTGATTTCTACTAGACATTTAAAGAAGAACTAATAGCAGTTCCACCCAAACTTTTCAAAAAATTGAAGAGAAAGAAATATTTCCAGTCTCATTCTACTTGGCCCATATTACCCTGATACCAAAACAAGACTAAGACACAACATGAAAAAATTTATAGGACAATATCTCAGATAAACATGGATGCAAAAATTCTCAAGAAAATACTGGCAGACCAAACAACACATTAAAAATATTATTCACCATGATGAAATGGTGCAAGAATAGTTAGTTCAATATATGTAATACATAAAAATGAGATACTTTAAAGTAGTTTTTTCCAATTCTGTAAAGAAACTCATTGGTAGCTTGATGGGGATGGCATTTAATCTATAAATTACCTTGGGCAGTATGGCCATTTTCATGATATTGATTCTTCCTACCCATGAGCATGGAATGTTCTTCCATTCGTTTGTATCCTCTTTTATTTCATTGAGCAGTGGTTTGTAGTTCTCCTTGAAGAGGTCCTTCACGTCCCTTGTAAGTTGGATTCCTAGGTATTTTATTCTCTATGAAGCAATTGTGAATGGGAGTTCACTCATGATTTGGCTCTCTGTTTGTCTGTTATTGGTGTATAAGAATGCTTGTGATTTTTGTACATTGATTTTGTATCCTGAGACTTTGCTGAAGTCGCTTATCAGCTTAAGGAGATTTTGGGCTGAGACAATGGGGTTTTCTAGATATACAATCATGGAACCAAAAAAGAGCCCGCATCACCGAGTCAATCCTAAGCCAAAAGAACAAAGCTGGAGGCATCATGCTACCTGACTTCAAACTATACTACAAGGCTACAGTAACCAAAACAGCATGGTACTGGTACCAAAACAGAGACATAGATCAATGGAACAGAACAGAGCCCTCAGAAAAAACGCCACATATCTACAACTATCTGATCTTTGACAAACCTGAGGAAAACAAGCAATGGGGAAAGGATTCCTTATTTAATAAATGGTGCTGGGAAAACTGGCTAGTCATATGTAGAAAGCTGAAACTAGATCCCTTCCTTACACCTTATACAAAAATTAATTCAAGATGGATTAAAGACTTAAACATTAGACCTAAAACCATAAAAAACCCTAGAAGAAAACCTAGGCATTACCATTCAGGACATAGGCATGGGCAAGGACTTCATGTCTAAAACACCAAAAGCAGTGTCAACAAAAGCCAAAATTGACAAATGGGATCTAATTTAACTAAAGAGCTTCTGCACAGCAAAAGAAACTACCATCAGAGTGAACAGGCAACCTACAACATGGGAGAAAATTTTCGCAACCTACTCATCTGACAAAGGGCTAATATCCAGAATCTACAATGAACTCAAACAAATTTACAAGAAAAAAACAAACAACCCCATCAAAAAGTGGGCAAAGGATATGAACAGACACTTCTCAAAAGAAGACATTTATGGAGCCAAAAAACACATTAAAAAATTCTCACCATCACTGGCCATCAGAGAAATGCAAATCAAAACCACAATGAGATACCATCTCACACCAGTTAGAATGGCAATCATTAAAAAGTCAGGAAACAACAGGTGCTGGAGAGGATGTGGAGAAATAGGAACACTTTTACACTGTCAGTGGGACTGTAAACTAGTTCAACCATTGTGGAAGTCAGTGTGGTGATTCCTCAGGGATCTAGAACTAGAAATACCATTTGACCCAGCCATCCCATTACTGGGTATATACCCAAAGGACTGTAAATCATGCTGCTGTAAAGACACATGCACAAGTATGTTTATTGTGGCACTATTCACAATAGCAAAGACTTGGAACCAAGCCAAATGTCCAACAATGATAGCCTGGATTAAGAAAATGTGGCACATATACACCATGGAATACTATGCAGCCATAAAAAATGATGAGTTCACGTCCTTTGTAGGGACATGGATGAAATTGGAAATCATCATTCTCCGTAAACTATCGCAAGGACAAAAAACCAAACACCACATGTTCTCACTCATAGGTGGGAATTGAACAATGAGAACACCTGGACACAGGAAGGGGAACATCACACTCTGGGGACTGTTGTGGGGTGGGGGGAAGAGGGAGGGATAGCTTTAGGAGATATACCTAATGCTAAATGACGAAGTTAATGGGTGCAGCACACCAGCATGGCACATGTATACATATGTAACTAACCTGCACATTGTGCACATGTACCCTAAAACTTAAAGTATAATAATAATAAAAAAATTTAAAAAAATGAGATACATCACATTACCAGAACCAAAAACAAAATCATATAATCATCAGTATGATCAGCTTGAAAAAGCATTCAATAAAATTCATCATCCTTTTATAATAAAAACACTCATCCACTTGGTTATAGAAGGAAAATATCCAAAAATAAGCCATATATGACAAACCCACAGCTACCATCCTACTGTATAAGAACAAATTGAAGGCCTTTTCTCTAAGATCTGGAATTTAAAAAGGATGCCCACTTTCACCACTTTTATTCAGCATAGTACTGGAAGTCCTGGCTAGAACATTTAGGCAAGAGAAAGAAATAAAGGGCATCAAAGAAACATAATCTTACACAGATGACATAATCTTATAGTTAGAAAAACCCAAAGACTCCACAAAAAATTGTAAAAACTGATAAATGCAGTAGGTAAAAATATATATGCACAAAAATCAGTAGCATTTATATATGATTGAAATGAATAATCTAAAAGAGACATCAAGAAAGCAATCACATTTACAATAGCTATAAAATACCTAGAAATAAATTTAACCAAAGAAATGCAAGATCTGTAAAACAAAAGTTATAAAACCCTGATAAAAGAAATTGACAAGGACACAAAAATGGAAATATATTGCATGCACATGGATTGGAATAATTAATATTGTAAAAGTGAACAATACTACACAAAGCAATTTATAGATTCAATGTAATCTCAATTAAAATTTCAATGACATTCTTCACAGAAATTTTTTTAAAATGCTAAAATTTATGTTTAACTACTAAAGCCTCCAAATAGCCAAACAGTCCTGAGCAATAACAAAAAATACTGGAGTCATCACAATATCTGACTTTTAAATTTACTACAGAACTATAGTCACCAAAACAGCATGGTACTGACATGAAAACAGACACATATACCAATGGAAAAGAATAGAAGACTCAGATACGAATTTGTACATTTACAGTCAACTTATATTTGACCAAGTTGCCAAGAACATACGATGGAAAAAGGACTGTCTTTTCAATAAATGTGCTGGGTAAACTAGATAAGTATATGCAAAAGAATGAAACTAGATCCCTTTCTCTCAGCATACACAAAAATCAAATAAAAATTAAAGACTCAAATCTAAAACCTGGAATTATGAAGTTCCTAGAAGAAAACACTGGGGAAACATGTCAAGACATTAGTCTAGGCAAAGATTTCCTAAGACAGACCTCAAAAGCACAGGCAACCAAAGCAAAAATGGACAAATGGGATTATATCAGCTAAAAACCTTCTGTACAGCAATAGAAACAATCAACAAAGTGAAGAGACAGCCTATAGAATGGCAGAAAATATTTGCAAACTCTCCATGTGACAAGAGATTAATAACTAGAAATAATATATAAGGACCTCAAACAACTCAATAGAAAAGCAAAGTGATTCCATTTTAAACCGGACAAGGCTAGACACAGTGACTCACTCCTGCAATCTCAGCACTTTGAGAGGCTGAGGCTGGAAGAGCACTTGAGGCCAGGAGTTCAAGACTAGCTCTGGCAACATAGTGAGGCCCTGTCTCTACGAAATAATTATAAATAAGTTAGCCAGGCATGATAGCACACACCTGTAGTCCCAGCTACTGGGGAGGCTGAGGCAGGAGAATCAATTAAGGCCAGGAGTTTGAGAATGCAGTGAGCCATGATGTCACCATTTCACTCTAGACTGGGTGACAGAGCAAGATTCTATCTCAAAATAAATAAGTAAATAAAATGGATAAAAATATGAGTAGATATTTTTCAGAAGACATACAAATGGCAGGAAGGTATAAGTAAAATGTTCAACATTACTAATAATCAGAGAAATTCAAATCACAACTACAGTGAGACATTACCTCACCCAGTTAAAAATGGCTTTTATTAAAAAGGCAATGATGGATGCTGGTGAAGATGTGGAGAAAGGGGAAAGCTCATACTCTGTTGGTGGCAAAGTGAATTACTGTAGCCACTGCAGAGAATACTATAGAAGTTTCTCAAAAAAACAAAACTGAAAATACCAGCAATTTTACTAGTGGGTGATATATCAATAAAATCAAAAGAAAATCAACATATCAAATAGATAGCTACACCCCCATGTTTATCACACACTATTCACAATAGCCAAAATATGGAATCAACCTAAATCTCCATCAATGGATGGATGAAGAAAATGTGATGTATATACACAATAGAATACTATTGGCCATAATAAAGAAGAAAATCCTGTCATTTGCAGCAACATGGATGGAACTGGAGGTCATTATGTTAAGTGAAATAAGCCAGGAAACAGAAAGACAAATGCCACATATTCTCACTCTTATGTGGGAAATAAACAAATTGATTTCATGGAGGTAGACAGCAGAATGATGGTTACTACAGGCTGGGAATAATAGTGAAAGTTAGATTATGTTAGTAGTCTAAAACATGTTCATCTGATTTTTTTGTGTATAATTATTGGCAACCCAAATGATAAAAAAACAAAGTAAATATGGTGAGTTCTACAAGGAAAAAGAGAGTAAAATGGTGGTTACCAGTGGCTTTAGTTGAGGAATTGGAGAGATGATGGTGGAAAGACACATTTTAGTTTGGAAAGGTATCTATAGTACACCATAGTGACTATAGTTATTAGCAATATATTGTATGCTTGAAAATTGCTAAGAGAGTAGATTTTCAGTGTCCTCACCATAAAAATAATGTGATGCAATGCATATGTTAAATAGCTTTAGTCATTCCACAATGTATACATGTATCATTATGTTATATACCATAAATATATATAATTTTTAATTTTCTAATTTACATTTTTTAAAACTAGGATAAATCAGACAAAAATATAGAGTTCTAGTTGTATTTTTATGCCAATATATCTTTTATTTTTATTTGTTTCATTTATAATAAAAACAAATATACATCTTAGGAGAAAAGTAACAAGAAAATTAATTTTCAGGGGCTGAAAATTACGTACTTTCTCTCTGATAATTTGAACTGGTGGATAATGAAGTTTAAGGCTCGCTGCCGGCTGGCACGGTGGCTCACACATGTAATCCTAGCACTTTAGAAGTCGAAGGCAGGCGGATCGCTTGAGCTCAGGATTTCAAGACCAGCCTGAGGAACACGGCAAAACCCGTCTCTACAAAAAAAAAAAAAAAAAAAAAAAAAAAAAAACTAGACGGGCATGGAGGTGCATGCCTGTAGCCCTTGCTACTGGGGAGATTGAGGTGGGAGGATCGCTTGAGCCCAGGTAGGTCCAGGCTGCAGTGAGCCAGTGATTGCACCACTACCCTCCAGCCTGGGCAATAGAGTGAGACCCTGTTTATAAAAAGAAAAAAAATAGCTTAATATATTTAAATATTTAAAAAGGTATCCGTGAAAACAAAAACTGACCTTTTATTTTTGTCATAGGAAAATTCTAATCTTATTATTTAATAAAATTATACCATTTTTGTATGTTCAACATGCAGACAGATGTAACTCACTAAATTTCTATAATTACTCTGTAGTTAAGTTTCTTACAATATTAGTGAAATAGTATAACTTGCAAAATATCATGGAAGAAGAAACGTCCATCTTTGAGAGTGCCTACATGAGTATAAGACTATTACAAATAATTTGGCTAATAATTGTGTTCTATTTCGTTGATGCTGGTCACTAATCGCCAGTTTCCTGCACAGAAGTTTCTGAGTATGGTGAAATAAATTGTTAATTCTAAAGTGGCTGCCTTTTATAGGCATTGTCAGTGGTGAAAAAATGGGCTGTTATTCTAATGCTTGCAATTAAGACTGCTTTGAAAGAAGCCTATTATCTATGCCAAGGCAAGCAGAAGAAAAACCGAAGGTGGGATTTTGATACTGGATTAGAATTTTATTATTCAGAAGACTTCTGTCCCCGACATGAAACCTTTTCTGATCATTCTAAAACGTTATGACTCTCCTCTGAGCAAGAAGAGAGGTTTTCTTGACACATAACAATGCATCATTACTTCGTCAGTAATGTATGCGATGCTTTTTTAAAAATCAGATTATGCATGTTTCAGCAATTTTTGAGTGCCTATCAGTAACTCTTACAGTCTAACCACTAAACCACACTGATTGATACGGGGTGGCCAACTGATCTCTGCTGTTTCAACCATATTTCCCTGGGGACAAAAAAAAAAAAAAAAAGGAAACTGAAAGAACACACTACTTAGTTCTGATAAGAAAAAGGCAAATAGTATATGCAGAAAGTCTATAGTAACACAAAGGCAAAAAGTATATAGTAAAAAAAAATACAGAATGATGAATGCTGACTGTAGATCTTTCATAGATTCTGCTTATCAGGTAAGGACATTCCTATTTAATACGAGTTTGCTGAGATTACAATCAAAAAGAAGTGATGACTTTTGTTCATTGCTTTTTAAAATGTTTACATCTATTGTGATAAAAGCATATTTTTTTATCCCTTATTTTAACATAAAGTATCACATGAAAAACTTTTCCAATATTATGTCAACATTGCATTCCTGAGATAAATGTTATTTGATAGGATTTTATAATTTTCTAACTGCTAAATATATTTGAAAATATAGAATTATTAATCATGGCCTAGCACAGTGGCTCATGTCTGTAATCCCAGCACTTTGGGAAGCCGAGGTGGGTGGAATCACTTGAGGTTAGGAGTTCGAGAGAACCCTGGCCACTGTGGAGAAACCCTGTCTCCACTGAAAATACAAAAATTAGCCGGGCATGGTGGTGCATGCCCGTAATCCCAGCTACTCCGGAGGCTGAGGCAGGAGAATAGCTTGAAGCCAGGAGGTGGAGGTCGCAGTGAGCCGAGATTGTGCCAATGTACTCCAGCCTGAGCGACAGGGCAAGACTCTGTCACACACACACACACACACACACACACACACACACACACACACACACACACACACATAATTATTCGTCATGAGGGAAAATTTGTTCGTAATGTCTTTGCCTGGTTGTGGTATCAGAGTTATGTTGGCCTCATAAAATTAATTGAAAAGTGTTCAATTTTTGGCACTATTTTGAAAGAGTTTGTATAAAATAGATATTTTCACCTTAAATGGTTGATTAATATTTATCAGTGAAAACTGAACATTTGTGTTTTATTTTTGAACTTTTATATATATATATATATTCACATTTATTTAACTTCAATTTTACTGAGGTAAATTGACAAAAAATGGTATATGTTTAAGGTGTACAACTTGATTTTTTGATATAGGTAGACATTGTTAATATTGTAAATGAGAACAGTTGAGGTCGACCCTCTAAGCCAATTTCAAATATATAATATCATCTGGTTAATTATAGTAACCATGATGTACATTTGATCTCCAGAAATTATTCATCTCATGGAACCAAACCTATACATACATAATGGGAAATTATTTGTATAATGGGATATTGTGCATAATGGAATATATAAGAATATTATGCCATATATAAGCAAGGTTATTTTCACATCTTGTCTATGAATAATGCTGCAATGAACATAGGAATGCAGAAATCTCTGAGATACTGATTTCATTTCCTTTGAATGTATACCCATAAGTGTGGTTGCTATATCATATGGTAGTTCTATGTTTAATTTTTTAAAGAACTTTCACTCTGTCTGTCAAATGACAGTACTAATTTACATTCTCACAGTGTACAAGGATCCCCTTTTCTTCATATTCCTGCCAATACTTACTCTGTCTTTTCGATAACACCTATCCTAACAGGTATGAGGTGGTATCTCACTGTGCTTTTGACTTGCATTTTCCCGATGACTAGTAATGTTGACCACTTTCTCATATATCTGTTGGCCTTTTGCGTGTCTTCTTTTGAGAAATATCTACTGAGGTCTTCTGTAGAATTTTAATTCATTTTTTTGCTATTAATTGAGATTCTTATATATTTTGGATATTAGCCACTTAAATATGTGGTTTGTGAATATTTTCTCCCATTCTATAGGTTCTCTTTTCACTCTGTTTCCTTTGCTGTGCACAACCGTTTTAGTTTGATGCAGCAGGAGTAAAAATATGCGTGTGAAAATTGGTGTTTTGTTGGTAAAATATTATTGATCAATTTTTCAGCAATATAGGGCTATTTATACTGTACATTTTATGTTGTGTCTATTCTATTAGTGCATTTTAAATAATTTGTTCATTTTCTCTAAGTTGTTGAATTTGTATAAACTTATTTATTTTATTACTAATTATGTTTCTAATACATTTAGTGTCTCTTGTGATATCCTCACTTTCATTGAAAATATCAATAATTTATAGATTTATTTTATCTTGATATTATTACTAGATCTTTATCAATTCTACTAATCTTCAAAACACTTTTCGTTTTATTTATTATTTTTTACTTGTGCCTGGATTTTAATATGCCTTCTATGTGTTTTATTTTTGTTGAGATTCTACTAATTTTATTTATTTTGAGCTGACAGTATTCGGATGAGATTTTACATTTAGAGTTATTGATGGAATGCGCTAAGATTTTGGGGATACTGGAATGTAATATGCTTGTGGAAAGGACATGGATTTTTGGGGCAAAAGGAAGGACTATACTGGGTTGAATAGTGTCTAACTAAAATTTATATGTACCCAGATCTGTAAATGTGACTTGATTTGGCAGCAGGTTATTTTTTAGCTGTAATCAAGTTAAGATAAAATTTGCGAGATTATTATGGATTCTAAATGCAACATACCTGTGTCATTCAAAGTGGGAATCTGGGACACAGATACACAGGCTGGCTGCCATGGAATGACTAGCAGATATTGGAGTGAAGCATCTTTAAGCTAAGGAACACCAAGGATTGCAAGAAACCACCGGAAACTAGGAAGAGGCAAAGTAGTCTCCCCTAGAAACTTCAGACAAAGCAAGACCTTTCTCTCTCATAGAATAAGGACCCTTAAGTTCAGAATTCCAGCCTCAGAATGGTGAGAGGATAAATTTCTGTTGTTTCAAGCTAACACATTTGTAATACTTTGTTATGGCAGCCAAGGAAACTAACACAATTTCTTCTATGTCCTTAAGTTTTGAGAGTGTCCTTATAAAAAGCATATAACTGAGTTTTCTTCTTTTCATCAAGTTTAAAATCTAGGTCCTTAAGCATAGCTATAGCTAATTTACAATTTAGCATTATTATTGATATATTTAGATTCATATCTACAATTTTTAGAGCTTTTATCTGTTACGCCTACAGTATGTTGCTTTCTTCCTTTTTAAACTTTTTATATTGTCTTAGTATTTTAATTTCATTTTAAAGCTAAACTAAACTGGCATTTACAGAATACTATTACTTAATGTTTATGCTGCAAATGGTAGCACTCATTATTCTTTCATTATTAATAATACATTTACTATTTTTACAACAACATAAAGGTCTTTGAAAAGTTACTATATTCTTCCTCTTTATTTCTGTCATATGTTTATATGTATGTACTTATACACATATAACATTTCCAAAATACTAATTATACTAAAGTAAATATTCATTTATATTTATATAATTTTTATCTATTGTAATTTGGTATTTATTTTTTCTGCATTTCTATACTTTTATTTTCTTACTTTTTAAAGATTTTATTTAGTTTAGTAAATGTACGCTGGTTAGGGTATACCACAATTTTTGTTTCATTGAAATTTTTACATTTTCATTTATTTTTGAAGACATATGACATTACAAAATCCTAAGCTGGCACATATTTTATTTCAGTAGTTTGAGAATACTGTTTTATTATTTTCTGGTTTTCAGTGTTTCAGTTGTCAAGTCAGCCGTTAGTTTATTTTTATATTTTTAGTAATTTCTCTTTTTTTCTCTCAATACTCTTAAGACTTTTTTCTTTAATACTTTTTATTTTGAGCAGTTTCACCACTAAGGAACTGTTTGAAAATTTTTGAAATACATATTTTTCCATCTGATAGCTTGTAGAATTTACGGTTTTTTTTTTTTTAGCTTTGGCAGATTATTTTCCTTTATTTTCTCAAATATTTGAAGCGACTCTTTTATTTATCCTCTTATTCTGAGTTTTCAGTTATACTTTAAAAAGTTTCCTCAGGTCTTTAAAGTCTTTTACCCTTTTTTTTTTTTTTTTTTTTTTTAAGACAGATCTCACTCTGTTGCCTAGGCTGGAGTGCAGTGGTGCAATCATGGCTCACTGTAGCCTCGATCTCCTGGGCTCAAGAGATCCTCCCACCTCAGCCTCCCAACTAGCTGGACCTACAAGCACGCACTGCCACATCCAGTTAAGTGTGTGTGTGTGTGTGTGTGTGTGTGTGTGTGTAGAGATGTGGTTTCGCTATGTTGCCTAGGCTAGTGTCAAACTCCTGAGCTCCAGCAATCTGCTCACCTGGGACTCCCAAAGTGCTGGGATTACAGGTGTGTGTCACTGTGTCCAGTATCTTTTCTGCATTATTAAAAATTCTTTATCTGTCTCAGTTTTGCTGTGGAAATTTTCTTCTGACCTATTCAATCTACTAATTATCCGTTTAGCTTCTGACCTATTTAATTTAACAATTTTCTATATATCTCTCATAGTTTGCTGTTAAAACCATCCAATGAATTCTTAATTTCAGTTGCTATATTATTATATATTAAAATTTGTAATAGTTTTTTATAGTCTCTAATTCTCTCTTGAAATTCATACCTGAAATTTTATTATCTTGAATATATTAAGAATATGTTAATATAGTGCATCTTTTTGAGATCTCTACCAAAATTGAAAGTGTATTCACCAAGGACAAAAAACAATTTATACCATTCTAGCTCTTAAATGCTGCTACAGTAGGAAAGGTTCACCTTTTAGCTTTCCCCTATAACAGCAGCCTGTGTCCTCAGGAAAAAGGAGCTCCCAACTGCAGAACTACTTCTGCCAGAACCTTTCTTCCTCTCTTCTGCTAATTATTTTACAATCTTCTTAGCTTTTATTATTATTATTATTATTATTTTAACATGAGGTCTCACTCTGTTGCCCAGGCTAGAGTTCAGTGGCATGATCATGGCTCGCTGCAACCTCACCTTCTGGGCTCAAGCAATCGTCCCACCTCATCTTCCCAAGTAGCTGAGACTACAGGCATGTGACATGATGCCATTTTGTATTTGTTGTAGAGTCAGGATTTCACCATGTTGTCCAGGCTGGTTTGAACTCCTGGACTAAAGTGATCTGCCCACCTCAGCCTCCCAAAGTGCTGGGATTACAGATGTGAGCCACTGCACTCACTCAGCAATCTTCAATGTTTATAAGCAAATTATTTTAATGTATTTCATCTAGAGCAGGACAGTTGAGGCAAATTACCTAATTTGCATTGAATGAAAGCAGAGTTGCACTTTGATCTGTGTTTCATGACCATATTTATTTTTCTTCCATAAAGTGATTCAACTTTTAGCAAATCATCTGTATTATTCTATTAGTAATGTCATCCACAAATATTACAGACTGTGTGACTTAAGCAATAGAAAGTTATTTACACACAATTCTGGAGGTGGAAAGTCCAGCAGGTTTGATTTCTCCTGGGGCCTCACTTCTTGGCTTTCAGATGTTCATCTTCTTGCTGTATCCTCACATGTCCTTCTCTCTGTGAGAGTGCACCCTTGATTGCTTCTCCCACTTTTTATAAGGACAACATTCCAGCTGAATTAGGGTTGTGCTCTTAGGTGCTCATTTTAACCTTAACTAACTCTTTGAGAACCCGTCTCCAACTACAGTCATATTGGGGGTTAGAGATTCTACATATAAATTTTTGGAGAGCACAATTTATTCCATAACACTATTAAGCAAATTATATATTTCACATTGTTTTGCAATGTAACCTTTATTAATTATAAAATTCTCCTTAATGAATTGTAAGCACTCGATCTTGTTCTACTAAGAACAGTAATTTCTCATCAAAAGAGCAATATTTATTTTTTTATAAGTAATGGTATCATACTAGCCTTCTACTTAACTTCGCCCTCTGTGTTTTCATATAAAATACAAATATAAAATTTTGTATATATATATGTAACATATAAAATTATAAAATAAATAAAAATACATAAAATTATGCCTTTTTATAATTAATAAGTGATACTAATGTACTTTTTTCTGGACAATTTTTTTGATAGAGTCTGGTAAGTGAGCACTAAAAGTCCTAAGTTTCCAAGTAAATCCATTGGTATTATAACATGCTACTAATCATATTTATGTTTTAATTAATTGATATTTCTAATAGACACATTGCAATTAAACATATTTAATTGCTTTAAACTGACGAACAGTTTAATGTTTTAATATGTATTTCTGTTGTGTAGTGATCAAATCAGGGTAGTTAATATATCCATGACCACATTCATTCTTCATTTCTTTGTGGTGAGAACATTCAAAATCCTCTCTTACAGCTGTTTCGTAATACAGCACTCTGCTGTTACCATAGTCACTCTACTGTGTATTAGAACACTTAAATATATTCCTTCTATCGTATTGTAATTTTGTACCCATTGACCAGCCTCTCTCCATCCTCCCCTTCTCTCTTCACTCCCTAGTCTCTTCTAACCACTCTTATACTGTCGGCTTCTATGATAATAATGACACAGGATACTTTTGGTGCTGCTTCGCTATTGAGAAATCTTCATTGCTGGTGGTGCCTGTGCCCACGCTTCGCTTAGGCCTGCTGGGCTCACTCTGCCCAATCAGCCCAGCAAGCTGGAGTCAACTCAAGCTACTGGCCTGGATCCCAGGCCCGTCATGGCTCTGCATTCAGCCCATGAATGGTCTGGAGGACATGCTGTGACCAGCTTCCACCTTGGGCATCAGCACCCGGATGAGGTGGATGCAGCGGTTCCCAAAAACCTGGAGATGCTAGCAACCATGGCACCCCAAGGGGTGTTACAGCTTTTGCTCTGGGAGTCCCGAGGTCTGAGCCCCCAGGAAGTGTTAGCGCTCTTTGTTCCCACTGCCCACAGTTCCGTGAACGGGAGAGTGTGGTGCCCTGTGGTTTTTTCACTCCCATAGCTTGCCAAGCAGGAGCGAGTGTTACACCTGCTGGTAGATGTGTTTCTTGTCCCACAACCAGGAGGAATGAGGTGTGCAGACACTGGAGAATGAACAAGGCAGAGAAGAATTTTATTGAGTGACAGAAGAGCTCTCGAAAATGAGAGGGAACCCAAACTGGGTAGCCCTCTGTGTGAGAGAGGGCCCGAAAGCAGGTAACCATCTGTGAGGCTGGGTTCAGGGCTTTTATGAGCTCAAAGTGGGAGAGTACATGCTGATTGGTCCATGAGCAGACCTGGTAAAAGCACTATTTGACTAAAAGGCATAGAGGAAGTTCTCACTCTAGTTGTGGGCTCCACCTTGAACTGGCAGCTCAGTTTTCAGGCTTCATGCTGTCTTTGGCTTTAAGTTCAGGTTTTACTGGCAACCCATCCCTGTCTGCCTAGGAATTTTTCTGTCTCCTGCTGCTATCAAAAACTTTTTTTTTTCTTTTTAGATTCCAAATATGAGTGAGATCAAGCAATATTATATTTCTGTGTCTGGTTTATTTCACTTAACATGATATCTTCCAGATTTATTCTATTGTTAGAAATGACAGAATTTTCTTCTTTTTAATTGCCAAATTGTATTACTTTGTGTGTATATATATATATATATATATATCATTTTGTCATTATTCACTTATTTGTTGTTGGGTATTGATTGGCTGTTTGATTCTATATCTTGGATATTATAAACAATGCTGCAATAAACACTGGAGTGCCAATATCTCTTTAATGTGCTAATATAATTTCCTTTGGATATATACCCAGTAGTGGTATTTCTGTATCATGTAATAGTTCTATTGTTAATTTTTTGAGGAACTTCCCTACTATTTTCCATAATGGATTTAGCATCAAAAGTATGAAAGCATTCCTTGTTTTCTACATCCTTGCCAGCAGTTATTATCTCTATGTCTTTTTGATAATAGACATTCTAACTGCAGTTAGGTGATTTCTCATTGTAGTTTAGTGATGTTGGGCTTTTAAAATATACTGGTTGGCCATTGTATGTTTTCTTTTGAGAAATATTTGAGGTATTTTGGCCAATTTTTAAATGGCTTTTCCTTTTTTTTTTTTTTTTTTTTTTACGGAGTTTTGCTCTTGTTGCCCAGACTGAAGTGCAGTGGCGTGATCTAAGCTCACCGCACCCTCCGCTTCCCAGGTTCTAACAATTCTCTTGCCTCAGCCTCCTGAGTAGCTGGGATTATAGGCATGTGCTACTAAGCCTAGCTAATTTTGTATTTTTAGTAGAGACAGAGTTTCTCCATGTTAGTCAGGCTGATCTCGAACTATTTTGACCTCAAGTGATCCGCCCACCTCAGCCTCCCAAAGTGCTAGGATTACAGGCATGAGCCACCATGCCCAACCTAAATAGGCAATTTTTAAATTTCTTGCTGTTGAGTTGTTTAAATTCCTTAATAGTCTAGATATTAACCCTTCATGAGAGGTATAATTTTAAAATATTTTATCCCATTATGTAGGTTGTCTCTTCATTCTGTTAATAGTTTCCCATGCTGTACAAACAAAATTTTAGTTAAATGTAATTTAATATAATCCTACTTGTTTATTTTTGGTTCTTTTGTCGGTGCTTCTGAGGTCCTATTTTAGAAACCCTTGCCTGGTCCAGTGTCATAAAACATTTTCCTATTTATTCTAATAGTTTCATCGTTTTAGGTTTTATACCTAAGTCTTTAATCCATTTGATTTAATTGTTATATATGCTAAGAGGTAGGAGCTAGTCACATTCTACTGTATATGGATATTCAATTTTTCCAGCATGATTTATTGAAGAGACTGGTTAGCAGTAGAGGTCTATTATGGATATTCAGCTTTCTTAGCTCCATTTATTATAGAGGCTATTTTTTCCTTAATGTGTGTTTTTGGAAACTTGGTCAAAAATCAGTTTGACTTAAATGTGTGGATTTATTTCTGAGTTCTCTATCTGTTCTTTTATCTTTTTTGTTTCTGTATCTACTGTAATTTTCTTCTTTTTGGTTATCATGGGGTTAATAAACAGTTTTATAGAATTAGATTATTTCAGCTATTAATAACTTAATTTTGGGCGGAAAAAATATTCTAGACTTTTCTCCTCCCACACACGATTTATATTTTTGTTTTCTTAATTTACTTCTTTATCTATTGTGTGTTCCTCAGGCACTAATTGTAGCTGTTGTTTTGACCACTTTGATTTTAAACCTTTATACTGGAGGATTCAGAGATTTACATATCACCAGTACACCAGTGGGGTATTCTGAACCTGATTTATAAATTTACCTGTACTGGTGAGTTTTATACCTTTCTGTGTTTTCATTATAGCAATTATTATCCTTTGTCTCCCTTTATAGCACTTCCTGAATAAATGATTTCAATCTCTTCTCTCCTGCAAAGTTTTGGCTAGGAAATTTGCTGATTGTCTAATGTGAATTATCTTACATGCAACCTGATGCTTTTTTATTGCAGCTTTTAGAATTCTCTCTTATCTTTAACTTTTGAAAAGTTGATTGCAGTGTGCCTTGTAGAAGATCTTTATAGGTTGGATTTCATTGGATATTTTTAAGTTTCCAAAATCTGAATGTCAGTAAATATCTGTTTTAATACTTGGACATTTTTCATTTATTATTTTTTTCCTTAAATGGGTTTTCTGTGCCTTTCTTCATATCTTCTCTCTTTGGCACTTCTATAATGTAAAAATTGTTTGCTTAATGTTGTTACGTATGTCCTGTGGGCTTTCTTCAGTCTTCTTTTATTCTTCTTTTATTTTTTCTCCTCTAATTTCTAAATTTTGTATCATCAGTAATTATCTACATATTCTGAATTTATTTTTCCTTTATGATTCTTATTTGAATAAGGGAGAACCATGAGGTTGATAAGTGTGAGTTGTAGCTAGAAAGCAACACAATTCTAATAGCAACAATCATTCCTAGTGCCAAAATATTGGTTTCTAATACCATTCTCTAATAAAAGAAACTAGAATTTATTTGAATAAAGGGTTGATTCAAGGACTAGAGCAGGAAATATACAAGAGAGGCTTGGAGTACTTCATAATGCCAAAAAATAAGAAAGTACCATAAAACAAGCAAAATAAAACAAGTCATATTGATGGACATATCTGAAAGGGGCACAACTGAAAGCCAACTGAAAGAGCTTCCAATGGCCAAAGCTGAAACAATTTGAGCACCAAAATGGTTTTAGATTATAACCCAAAGTATCAATATCCTAAAGTCCATATTGACATAAACACAGGCTTGAATGATAAATATATAGGAACAAGATACAAATGCCTTATGCACAATAATTGAAAATAATTTATGTACACCATCTAACCTGTGAAGAGGTGGCATACCACTATTCATTTTTTACATGTAGGCTGTTATACAGAATGACTTTTTCCAAAAAGTACAATGTAGGAAAAGAGGAATAAAATAATAACTTTATTACAGAGAAATCTGACAAATATGACCCAGATAGGTGATTAAGGTTAATTTCAAAAGTGAAAGTCATCGTGACGGTATATCCCTTTGATATGTTGTGAAGAAAATGTCACTCTAACTCTGTAGCCTTCCTCCTAAAAATCCATAACCACAATCTAATCATGAATAACAAAAATCAGCAGATAATTCCAAATTGAGGGACATTCTAAAAACTTTCTGACTGGTATTCCTCAAAACTGTCAAGGTAATTAAATCCAAGAAAGTCTGAGAAACTATCTAAGGAGATATAATAATTAAATGCAAAGTAACAACCTGTATGATATTTTGGAACAGAATGAGAATATTGGATAAAACTAAGGAGTTTAAATAAAGCTGGAACTTAGTTAATGAACATATCAATATCTTTTCATTTAGTTCATTCAATTCTGGGAGATGTACAATTACAATATAAGATTCTAATAATAGGGAAAATAGTGTGGGATATAATGGTATTCTCTGTACCAGCATCATAATTATGCTGAAAATCTAAAACTATTCTAAAATAAAAATGATAATTTAAAAAATCAATACCAACTTTAGCAATGCAATTTTTCAAGCAAAATTTAATTTCAAATTCAAACACATTATATTCTTATTTTGGCTATGTAAAATTTCTACTATTGATGCTTCAATTTTACAGTTGAGATAACTGCAGCACAAACCCATAAAGTATGACTTGGGAACTCACATTTTCAACCACTACCTTCTACTACCTTGTACTTCTCATTCATTGCATAAACTATTCACACACACACACACACACACACACACACACACACACACACACACATTTTTCTTAGTCATTAGAATCTAGTCAAGGACAGACATCAGCTGTTTCATTAAAAATAGGATGTAAACTAGGACTTAGATATAGTTGTAATTAAGAAAATCACAATACAGTGGAAAGAGGTTCTCTTGACAAAATATGTTATCAAGTTATTTACTTAAACCTGAAATGCAAGGATGATTCAACATATGAAAGTCAATCAGTGCAATACACTGTGTTAACAGAGTGATGGACAACAACCATATGGCCATCTCAATTGATGCAGAAAAAAGCATTTGATGGTATTTACGATAAAAATGTTCAATAAACTAGGAAAAGAAGAAACAGTTTCAAAAAATAAAGCTGTATATGAAAAGCTCACAGGTGACATCATACTTAATTATGAAAGACTAAAAGCTTTACCCTTTCATGACAAAAAGCTCTCAAAAAACTACAAATGGAAACTTCTTTAACATAATAAAGACCATATATGAAACACCTATAGCTATAATCATACTCAATGGTGAAAACTAATGCTTTATTATGAGGAGCAAGGTGAGGATGTCCACGCTTGCCACTTCTATTCAACATGCTACTGAATGTCCCAGCCAGAGCAATGGTAAAGGAAAAGAATTAAAAGACATTCAATTTGGAAAGTGAGAAGTAACATTAGCTCTGTTTGAAGATGATATGATCCTATATGTAGAAACCACAAGGATCCCATTTAAAAAAATCATAAAATCCAATCATTAATTTCAGCAAAATTCTTGGACATAATATCAACATGCAATTATCAGTTGCATTTCTATACACTAAGACTAACCAACCCAAAAAGATAAGTAAGGAAACCATCTACAACAGCATCAAAAAGAGTGATACTTAGAAATAAACTAAAAAAGTGAGACTTATACACTGAAAACTCCAAATCATTGTTAAAATGAATCAAAGATGATACAAATAAAGGGAAAAACATCTCATGTTTATGGGTTGGAAGACTTCATAGTGTTAAAATACCTATATTACCCAAAGTGATCTTAAAATTCAATGCAACTTTTATTAAAACATCAAAGCCATTTTTTTCAAAAGTTAAAATTCATATAGCATCTTTAAAAAAATTTGAAAAAGGATAAAATTGGAGACTTTACCCTTCCTGGTTTGAAAACACACTACAAAGAAACAGTAATCAAGACTATGTAGTACTGGCAAAAAGGCAGATTATATAGTCCAATGGAACATGATAGAAAGCCTAGAAATAAATGCTTGCACAAATAATATATAGACAAGGGTGCTGAGACTGCACAGCAGAAAAAGGAGAGCCTCTCCAATAAATGGTATTGAGAAAACTGAATATCTACATGTAAAAGAATGAAGTTAGGCCCTTATTTTGTTTGCATCAACTACAATGTTAACTCAAAATATATTAAATATATAAATGTAAGACCTAAAATTATGAAACTCCTAGAAACAAACAGAGGGAGAAAGCTTCAGAGAATTGGATTTGTCAATGTATTCTTGGATATGATACTAAATGGACAGTTAACAAAAGTCAAAATAGAAAAAAGGAACTTTATCAAATACATAATCATTTGCATATCAAAGGAAACAATAAACATTGAAAAAACAACCTAAATGAGAAGAGAAAATATTTTCAAATAATATATAAAAAGGAGTTAATATTCAGAATATCTAAGCAACTTCTACAACTCAGCAACAACAAAATAACAAATAACCCAATTAAAAAATGGGCAAGGGATTTGAATACACATTTCTTTAAATAAAATATTCAAATGGCCAACAAGCATATAAAAAGATCCTAACATCACCAATCATAAGAGAAACAACTGTGAGCTATTATTTCATGTATATTAGGGTGGTCACTATCAAAAGAAGAGAAAATATCAAGTGTTAACAAGGAAGAAAGAAATTGAAACACTTTGGCGCTATTTACGGGAATGTAAAATGGCACAGCCATTATGAATAACAATCTGGAGTTTCCTCAAAAAATAAAAAATAAAATGACAGTGTGATTCAGCAGTCTCATTTCTGTGTACATATCCAAAAGAACTGAAAGTAGTATCTTGAAGAGGTATTTGCACACCATGTTTATTGCAGCATAATCTACAGTAGCTAAGATGTTAAAGCAACACAAATTTCCACCAACAAATCAGTAAAGAAAATGTAGGGGGTGTGTGTGTGCATATATATATATATAAACACACACACAAAATAATATTTTGCAGGCTTAAAAAAGAAGGAAATGGTGTCACATACTACAACATGGATGAATCTCAAAGACATTATGCTAAGTGAAATTAACCAGTCAAAAAAGAAGAAATATTGCATAAATCTATGCATATAAAGAAATCAAATTTTTAAAACAGAAAGAAAGTAGTTGCCAAGAGCTGGGGGGAGTGGGGAGGGAAAATTAGCATTTAATGAGTATAGAGTTTTAGTATTGAGAGAGAAAAAATTCTTGAGTTCTGTTGCAAGGAAATGTGAATATATTTAACACTACTGAAGTGTACACATAAAATATTTGATATGATAAATTTAATCTTATATGGTTTTTACAACAATAAAAAATTCTTTTAACGTGACTGGTTTTACTGGGCTGGGGGAATTATCCCTTTTTAAGAGAGGAAAACAAACACAGGGAGAGGAAATCATTTAAATGATTTAACTACAATTGAGGATACAATTGATGAATTTTAGTTATAAGGCAGCAAAAAATTGTAACTTATATATGGATAGTCAGTTCATACTGCATAAAATAAAGATTTTAGTATTTCTAAAGAATTAAGTTACAAAATCAACTTCATTAATTTAATTATCAGCTCAAATGCCACCTCCTCAGAGAGATTGTCCTTAACATCCATTTTGAAGCAGCCCCACTTACTACACTATCCCACTCTATTTTATTTTCATCTGGATACTTAAAGTGGATTATTTATTTATTTTTAGTTTATACCCTCACCAGCCCGTAAGTTCCATGTAAGTAGAAACCTTGTCTGACTTATCTTCATATTTTTAATATATAGACTAGAATTTGCCATATGATGAGTATTCCATAAATATTCGTGAAATAAATAATTTTAACCTATACAAAATAGATAATAGGATGTTTTTTCTTGCCTTTCTTGACCTATTATGTGGGTTGTAGATTCACCTAAATCATCCCTTCAAGAATGTTGATAGTTTCGATTTTAATATTAGTTCTACTTAAGAAAATATAGATGTATGCAGAAAGGGTCACTTCAGCTTCATCAGGTACTGCCAGGGTGACCCTTAGTTTTGATCTCTATTTTTAGTTGTTTGGCAGAGACTGAGTTGCCAGACAGTATCCATACTTCCCTTCTCATTCACAAGATATCTCAACTGGATTTAGGTTAGAAATACATCTAACTAGAAATTTTTTTTTTTCCCCTAGACTTCCTTGCAGCTAGGTATGAACAGGTGACTAATTTCTGCTTAATGAGAGATAAAAAGAGATGTCCTTGGACTCTCCAGGAAGGAATCTGTTTAGCTTCTTAATGTTTAAACTTAGATAAATGACTTTAACCTTTTCTTTATTCCTAATGTAAGCATTCAAAGCCACAAATTTCTCTCTAAACATTGATTTTGCAGAATCTCACACATTTCAATGTGTTTTATTTTCACTATCCACATTCATTTTCCATGTCTCCTTTGGGTAATCACTTTTATTCAATTTGACTGATCTCTATCAAAGTCAGTGACTCTCCATCATAAAAGACATTAATCTAATACTGAATCAAATGTGTACTGCTTTAGTGAAAAACATTTTGACCCAAGTTATATTCAAATTTAGTGTCATGAAAACTTCAAACCTTTCTCCCTATCAGGAGCAGGCTTTAAAATATGCCAAAATATATTCTTGTCAGTAATGAATTATGCAAAGCTAAAATATAATTTTTAGAATTTACTAAGACAGATTTAAATTGCAATGGAGGAACACACAAAGATTTGGGGATTAAAAATCTCTTTTTGGTTACAATGAGTCTGCAAGAAGATTGTAAGTCTACATATGAATCTGTGCCCTGTCAGTGTTTTATGTCAGTAAAATTATTTTGCCTGAAGCTTTCCTCTAGCTGAAAGTTTTAAAAGAAATTTCATCTGGCCAGTTGCTTTAAAAGAGAAATGTTACAGTTAAGCTAGATGATTAGTAAAAAACACCCTCAAAAATCTTTGAGAATCTTATGAAATAGAAGTTTTTATTGCATTTTAAGTTTACTGTAACTGATGTAAGATACATACGGCTTTAAAACTATTGCCAACATAGAAAATCATGTTGAAAAGTTATCTCATTTGAGAACATACATGCTTGATTAAATGTATTTTATAAATGCTTAAGATGTTGTTAGTAGGAATAAGATGGCAGTAGTTTAAGGCAGCTAAATCTGCATCTAATTAATAAAAAATAAATTGCTTAATTCTAAAATCAAGTGATCTAGAAATGAGATGATACTTGCTATTTAGCGTGGATACCAGAAGAAATGTACAAATCTGTAAAAGGCAATGACTTCTATAAAACAGAACTGAGGACTAGGCCAGAAGACTTTTTAAAATTCTAAGTTTTAAAATACCTGCTCAATGGTATTTTCAAAATATGTGCAGGTTTTACCTTAATAGAACTTGAAAAGGAAAATTTTAAAGGTTTTCAAATGTTTGTATTTCATCAACAGAAGGATTTTATCAAAAAATTTGCTGTGCAGAAGCTCTTTAGTTTAATTAGATCCCATTTGTCAATTTTGGCTTTTGTTGCCATTGCTTTTGGTGTTTTGGACATGAAGTCCTTGCCCACGCCTATGTCCTGAATGGTAATGCCTAGGTTTTCTTCTAGGGTTTTTATGGTTTTAGGTCTAACGTTTAAATCTTTAATCCATCTTGAATTAAGAAACTACCATCAGAGTGAACAGGCAACCTACAACATGGGAGAAAATTTTCGCAACCTACTCATCTGACAAAGGGCTAATATCCAGAATCTACAATGAACTCAAACAAATTTACAAGAAAAAAACAAACAACCCTATCAAAAAGTGGGCGAAGGACATGAACAGACACTTCTCAAAAGAAGACATTTATGCAGCCAAAAAACACATGAAGAAATGCTCATCATCACTGGCCATCAGAGAAATGCAAATCAAAACCACTATGAGATATCATCTCACACCAGTTAGAATGGCAATCATTAAAAAGTCAGGAAACAACAGGTGCTGGAGAGGATGTGGAGAAATAGGAACACTTTTACACTGTTGGTGGGACTGTAAACTAGCTCAACCATTGTGGAAGTCAGTGTGGCGATTCCTCAGGGATCTAGAACTAGAAATACCATTTGACCCAGCCATCCCATTACTGGGTATATACCCAAAGGGCTATAAATCATGCTGCTATAAAGACACATGCACACGTATGTTTATTGCGGCACTATTCACAATAGGAAAGACTTGGAACCAACCCAAATGTCCAACAATGATAGACTGGATTAAGAAAATGTGGCACATATACACCATGGAATACTATGCAGCCATAAAAAATGATGAGTTCATATCCTTTGTAGGGACATGGATGAAATTGGAAACCATCATTCTCAGTAAACTATCGCAAGAACAAAAAACCAAACACCGCATATTCTCACTCATAGGTGGGAATTGAACAATGAGATCACATGGACACAGGAAGGGGAATATCACACTCTGGGGACTGTGGTGGGGTCGGGGGAGGGGGGAGGGATAGCATTGGGAGATATACCTAATGCTAGATGACACATTAGTGGGTGCAGCGCACCAGCATGGCACATGTATACATATGTAACTAACCTGCACAATGTGCACATGTACCCTAAAACTTAGAGTATAATAAAAAAAAAAAAAAGAAAAAAAAAAAGAGTTTTCTAGAAGAGGAGTGGAGAAAGCATTCAAAGGAGTGAAGACTAAAGTGTGGGGAATGCTGCTGAGGTGAAAGCTAGGAACTGACTCCAGGAATTAACAATTTGGTTGTCATTTAGTGACTTTGATTAGAATGGACTTAAGGGAAAAAGGAGGCTAAAAACATAATTGAATATAACTGAGGGTGTAGGAGGTGATGAGCTGGAGATGAGGCCAAAACAACTATTTGGGGGAGTTTTGCTATAAAGTGAAGGGGAAGGAAAAACAGCAGGTATAATTGATCAATTGTAACAAACCAACCCCAAATTACCTCCACCTGGGCATGGAGTTTTGCAGCAACAATTAAGTTACTTTAGGTCTCTGTTCAAATTTTACTTCATTCTATTAAGTCTTTTTCAATGAACACGATTTACAATTTATTTTTAGTTGTAAGAAATCATACGTATTTTGTACTTCAGTTTGAGAAACACAACATTTTAGGACTTGAAATGGCTTTAAATATATCTTATCTGCAAAAATACACCAAATAAGGCAAAGCTATTTTCAGTTTCTTGCTTTTGATCATCCTGAAAATGTCAGAACTGATACTAGAACTTTAGATAGTTCTAGTGCTTGTTCTAGTATCTAGTTCTGGAGACTTAGCAAGTCTTTTTCTTGTCAAATACTCAAGTACTGTTCTCAGAGTCATAATTTTAAATTTGGGGCTAATAAAATAAATGTTTAAGTGCTTTCTTTTTTTAATCAAAAACAAGTTTGAACCCCCGATAAGTGTTGTGTCTATTCTTTGCTCTTGCTTAAAATCTTAATTATTTTGCTTATATGTATATTAATAATGATCATCTATCTATTGATCTATTAAACATACTGTATATGACTTAAAAAAAAATTTGGAAATGTGTATACAATTAACAATTTATCAGAACTACAATACCAAATTACTCCGCATATGAATAATAAATATTGAATTATTTTGTACAATCGATTTGAAGAAAACTAAAAAGAAAGACGAATCACATTTGATAGGGAAAGTAATTCTTAGAAAAGGTGAGTCTTAGGTGATTTCTCTATGCCATTGTTTAGACTATGTCAGACCACATGATCAATAGTCAAGTCATTGAAATTTACAATATCATATATCACTAAAAGCATTTACCCTTCTCCCAAGACTCCCTAGGGAAGTATGTGTCAAAGCAATGAGAAGTACATGAGCACAGAGGAGATTCAGGACATTGGAGCAAAGAGAAAGAACACATATAACAAGAGCAAACTGTCAGAGTATCCAGCTCTGGAAAAATCAAAATTTTCATTAGGAGACTAAAATAAAATGACCCTCTCTCTGCATAAAAGCATACACACCAAAAACACTTTGTGTTGTCTAATACAGTGTAATTATATACCACTTTATATACACATGCACACTCTCTTTAAGTTTTATAATTCAAAATTGTTTGCATTTTAAAAATGTGCTTTAAGTGTTTTATGTTATTAAAATATACTACTAAAGGTGTGTAATCACATTATGTATAAATGTGCCATTATGAAGTTGCATTATTTTTGTTTGTAAAGCAAGACATTATACAGATTAATTTCGCTAGTGTTTCATGTCTCTAAACATAGGTTTATATTAGGATTTTATTTAATTATTTATTTATTTTGAGATGAGGTCTCACTCTGTTGCCCAGGTTGAAGTGCAGTGGCACGATCTCGGCTCACTGCAACTTCTGCCTACCCAGTAGCTGGGACTACAGGTGTGAGACACCATGACCGGCTAATTTTCATATTTTAATAGAGACAGAGTTTCACCATGTTAGCCAGTCTGGTCTCACACTCCTGACCTCAGGTGATCTGCCCGCTTCGGTCTCCCAAAATGCTGGGATTATAGGTGTGAGTCACTGCACCCGGCTTAATAAGGCTTTTAATATCTTAAAGTAGCAGCCATTTTTTATATCAGAATAAAAATAAATATAAATATATTTTATACTTTTCAGTGACTGTCAAATGTGGAGGTAAATTCTGAAAATATAAGCCATCAATAATGTAATTAAATGTTGAGATTATTTGATGTTAAAGTATTGTGTATTTTAACTAATATTACAACTTGAACATTTCCATATGCTAAATTATACAAATTATGCATATTATTTAAGTTTATTTTCAAATACTAATACCAACATTAGTTAACATTTACACTACTAAATTGAGTTTAAGATTTCTTTGCAGTTTATTTTTTTTCCTGTAGAATATATTCTAAATACTGATGTGTATGCTAAATATTGTGCTTTAAAACCATTTGAAATGATTTTTTTAAGTTGAGATATGTCACCAACTTGAAAAAAATTAGGTTTATTTGTTTTGGCTTGTTTTTAAATTCCAGTTTTTGCCTTTTTAAAATTAATTTTACCCTTCAAATGTGTATTTTGAAAATATGTCTTCAAATCAGTTTAGAAAATCACACTTTCATGTCTGTCATTTCCATGTGTTTTCTATTACTGTCACCTTTTTTTTTCTTTCTTGTATGTGTTTTCCTGTTACAAAAATAAGCAAGGGGGCTTATGTATGCATTTGTATGTACATGTATATATAAATACTCCAAAGTTCACATAAAAAGCAAAGTTTTGTACTAATGGTAGAATTCCAAAATATCTTCTGATATTAAAAGTAAATCCTGAAAATCATTTTATTATATAATACAATTTTTTTTTACATTTTATGGCATAATATCCCATTCAGTAAATACGTTATAGTTCAGTGGGATCTATAACAATGAATATTGGATTAGTTTTACTCTTGCAATTTCTATAAATAATATAATGGTCATGCATTGTTTCAAATGTTGCTGTTGTATTTTTTAATAGATTCTCTGTACTGGGATTGTCAAAGGATAAATATTATAATATGTCCTTTCTTTCATATGTATTGTTTAATTTATAATTTGCATCAGCAGTATATGAGAGAGCCCTATGTCCTGTAACTTCACAAGGAGTGGTAATATTGAACTTTAAGTTTTGTTAATCCAATAAGTAGGAAATTTAATCTATTGTGATTCACTTTATACTAAGAAACATTTCATTTCTTCATCCATGAACACATTGTTCAATAGGTCATAAGCTGTTTTCCATTTTCTACCTTTTTTTGGCATTTATTTATTCTCATGTTCTTTATATGTTAAGAAGTTCAGCCCCTAACTATTTTGTTTTGTACCTATTAACCATCCCACCTCTCATCCAGCCCTGACCCCAACCCCCAACTTTCGCCCCCTGCAACCTGCAAATATAAATATATTTATATTTATTTTTATTCTGATATAAAAAATGGCTGCTACTTAAAGATATTAAAAGCCTTATTAAGCCGGGTGCAGTGACTCACACCTATAATCCCAGCATTTTGGGAGACCGAAGCGGGCAGATCACCTGAGGTCAGGAGTGTGAGACCAGACTGGCTAACATGGTGAAACCCTGTCTCTATTAAAATATGAAAATTAGCCGGTCATGGTGTCTCACACCTGTAGTCCCAGCTACTGGGTAGGCAGAGGTTGCAGTGAGCCGAGATCGTGCCACTGCACTTCAACCTGGGCAACAGAGTGAGACCTCATCTCAAAATAAATAAATAATTAAATAAAATCCTAATATAAACCTATGTTTAGAGACATGAAACACTAGCGAAATTAATCTGTATAATGTCTTGCTTTACAAACAAAAATAATGCAACTTCATAATGGCACATTTATACATAATGTGATTACACACATTTAGTAGTATATTTTAATAACATAAAACACTTAAAGCACATTTTTAAAATGCAAAACCTCTGGTAACTATCCTTCTACTCTTTATGTCCACGAGTTCAATTCTTTTGGTTTTTAGATCCCACAAATAAGTGAGAACATGCAATGTTTGTCTTTCTGTGCCTGGCTTATTTCACTTAGATTATGATGCACAGATTAAAGTTTATTAATTTTCTTTCCCCCTTTTTAAAATTAATTCTTCATTCTGAATTCAGAAGTTTAAGAAATTTTCTTCTGTTTCAAGTTACAAAAGAAATGATCCTTCATCCTATGATTTCTCCAAAATTATCCTGTTCACTCTTGAAACATAACTCTAATTGGCGATGCATTGTCCTTTACTCTTATTTTTCTGTCTCCTGCATGAGACTAACAAGTGCTGAAAGACAGGGAATATTATATGCAACTTTCTATCTCAACATAGTATCAAACTCAGAATGTACAGTAGGGTAGAAGTAAATAAATAGTTTAATGGGTGTTTGAATGAGTAAAAGAATTCGATTAAGGATCAGCTCAATAAAAACATCCTTCTGTAAAATCAACAGAAAGAACAAGTCTGCACATCTAACGCCTACTGGAATTAATTAAATCCTAAAACAAATTAACAAATTTAACTAGCACATATATTTATTTATATGTGTGTTATTTTGTACCACATTTCAATGAGCTATTATAAGAACTTCATAGAAAAAGCTACCATTTTTGTTTCCTTGATTCTAGTGAATAAACCATTTCTGATCTCAATTAGAGGTTTCTTGGCAGACCTCTGCATCTGTAACATAAGTGTTCTAAGCACACAACTGGGGAAGGGTGGGATGAAGAATCAAGGAAAAACATGTATTCTTCAAAGTAGAAAATAATTTATCTGAAAAGAGAAATAGCAGGAACTGGTCACTTGGCTCAGAAAAGCTGATTCTGAAATTTCATATATAATGATGGGTAACTCTAGGAAAAACAGAAAGGAAAGAGGAAATTAAAGTAGCCAGATGTCATAAAAATTCCATCAAGATTATCCACATTTGGAAAGTCAGAAGATTAGTAAACAGTTCTATAAACATTGTCTTTCAAAAACAGTAATCTGGGATTCAACCATAAAATTAGAGGAGAGCTTGCATCCTAGTATCTTAAGACTGAACTGGCAAGCTCTCATTTTCTTCTTAATAAAGCAAAACAACAACTATACGCATAGATATATACATGTGTTTGTGTGTGTATGGTGTGTTTCTCCAGTGCACAATTGTCTGAAGTGCGAATAAACATATGAACTGTGGTTTGGGTTTCCAGTTGCAAACATTAGGAGAGTAGTTCTGGGCCAATTTGTCATCACAATGACCTGTGTTCTTTGTAAAATTACACAGCACTAATCTATTTTTGCTGATTATGTTATTACTATTGTGGCAGATATGTATACATAGCTAGAGTGTTTTTCTGAGTTACTTTTATTAAACGATGTTAAAATAATAAAATTATTAGTTCCTAGATTTCCTACATGTTTTTGAAAAACTATATAATGTACTGGTTTTTTGATTGTTTGTTTTTTGGAGACAGAGGATCGCTCTGTCGCCCAGGCTGGAGTGCAATGGCGTGATCTTGGCTCACTGCAACCTCCACTTCCTGAGTTCAAGCAATTCTCCTGCCTCAGCCTCTCGAGTAGCTGAGACTACAGGCACACACCACCACACTGGCTAATTTTTTGTATTTAATAGAGCCGAATTTTCACCGTGTTGCCCAGGCTTCTCTTGAACTCCTGAGCTCAGGCAATCTGCACACTTCAGCCTCCCAAAGTGCTGGGATTACAGGCATGAACCACGGCACTCAGCTATGTACTGTTAATATGATAGACTTTGAAGTAAAACATGTTTTGATTGAAACCCCTGCTTTAAAATCTGCTAGCAGCAAGAACAGCAAGTTGCTTTCATTCCCTAAGTCTCGATTCTAAGGGAGAATAATGTATTTTTCTGTTCTACTTGTTTTTGCCTGGTAGAAAGTAAGGGCTCAGTAAATGTTATCGATTTTTAATTATGTTGGCTGGAGATATATATATACACAAACACACACACACACACACATATATAGAGAGAGAGAAAGAGAGAGAGATCGAGAGAGAGAGAGAGAGAGAGAGACAGAGTTTCACTCTTGTTGCCCAGGATGGAGTGCAGTGGCACGATCTTGGCTTACCTCAACCTCTGCCTCCTGGGTTCAAGCGATTCTCCTGTCTCAGCCTCCCGAATACCTGGGATTAAGACATGCGCCACCATGCCCAGCTAATTTTGTATTTTTAGTAGAGACGGGGTTTCTCCATGTTGGTTAGGCTGGCCTCGAACTTCTGACCTCAGGTGATCTGCCCACCTCGGCCGCCCAAAGTGCTGGGATTACAGGCATGAGCCACCATGCCCAGCCTGTCTGGATATTTTTATAACACACATTTGAATTTATTCTATAGAATACACAAATAATTCACACATATGCACTCTTTTACATTTGCTAAAACCAAATACATGAATAGAGATTAAGTTTATTCTACATGTACAAAATTTTTATGCCATATTAATTTGAAATTTAAGAATGGATTCAAATGAATATAAAGATAATTTTGCTTCTGTAACGCTTATAATCCAACTGATTATACAAGTGGCATTGTCTAAAATATGGCTCACATAGACTTATTATTTCAAAGGACCTTTTTGGAGATCTTTTGATATAACTAGTTCATTTAAAATGAATGTTTCTATAAAACAAATGATTAATAAAATGAAATAAAATTGTGTGATGGCATATTTCTATTAATGCCAATGACTCTACCCAAACTAATAGTTAATATTTTTGGTCTCTAAATAAGCATCTTTAAATATACTCACAAAGCAAGGAAGAGAGAGTAATAGATTATATTGAAGAAAGGGCAAATTAATGGAAAAAGGAAGGAGAGAAGCACAACCACTTAGACTTAGGGCAATTTGATCACCTTAGGCTGTAGATCTCTGGTTCTATTTTTCCCAGATAACAAGAGAATACCTTCCTTTTAGAGCTAGAAAGTAATGAGTGAAGGGCCATTTGAAGCCTTTCAGTAAAGCTTGTTGCTAACCAATTCCAGTTACATCCACGTAGATACTCATCTATCATGTTCTTAAATTTCGACATTTCTTTCAACAATAGCAAGAAAGGGATAAATAATTTTCTATATCCAGCAATAAGTGAAAAGTGACCTTGGATATCTAAACTTAGCTATTTTAGAAGACAATTTTGATTAAAAAAAACTTGGCCTGTGTGAGTCAAATCATTTCCAAATAAAATAATAGTCTAATGATTTTTAAAACATTAAAATGTCAGTGATTTTCCAACCACTAATATCATCTAAAATTTAGCATTTTAAGAGTTAAGTGGAGACCCAAAACCTGATAGTACTTACTGTATCCATGATAGTATTGTAAACTGGCAGATTTCATAAAACTATTTAATCATTCTTTGTTTCAAGTGAAATTTAACATCTTTTAGAAATTTAATCTCTTTAACCATAGAAGTTTACCCTAAACACTATGAATACCTTCAGATCAGGCAACAATAGAAAGTGGAGCCTACTTGAAGGGAAAGGCTGGGAGGAGGGTGAGCATGAAAAAACTACCTATCAGGTACTATGCTTATTACCTGGGTGACAAAATAATCCATACACCAAACCTCCATGACAGACAATTTACCCATGTAACAATTCTGCAGATGTACCCACTGCACGAAAAAAAAAAAAAAAGAAAAGAAAAGAATACTTTTAGATCTACAGAATGAGAATTCCATGTAAAAAGACAGTAAGGGATTAACTTAATTCTGACTATGTTAATTTAAATCCACAAATTTTGAAAATAAACATTCACCTGCATGCATCAATTACACATACACAATGTGTGTACGTGTGCATGCCTTTTATTGATTAAAAAAATAATTTCTAGGAATGTGACTACACTGAATTTTACTAATAGGAGTTTTGGTGGGTGGAAAAAAGGATAGATTTTGTAATCAAACAGATACTGATTTTGATTTCAATTATTCATCTTACAACCCGTTGGAGAGTTAACTTGGATATTTAGATTACTGTGGGCAATAATATGATGTGCACGATAGATTTTGATTCCTAACAACATAAAAAGAAATAGAAATCCTGAGATAAACATTCATTTTTAAGCAATTTCTGTTATATATCTTCTCTATTTTTAATATGGCCTTGCTGATATACCTTGGAGAAGATAAATGACAGATTCTTCCTCTTTTAGCACTATGTAGGAATCATAAAAGTATCCAAGAAAGATTTTGTGTGTCTTTGTGCTTGAAAGTAATCATTATTAGTGATAAAATTTCAAATGTCTTATAAATCCCTCAAAACATTTGGATTGAAAGGGATTGTTTAGAGTTAAATAATATTATTGTGAATGCTAATTTTGTTATCTGTTATTTTTTTCATGATAACTCACTACTCCATGATAATGTCTTCTCAGATTTATACTCAAATGTACTCAGTGCCATGAGATAGCAACTCGTTTTCTTTAGACATATTTGTTTCCATGTAACAAATTTATGTGAAACTGAATTGTATATGAATTCAGAATGTCAGAAGTTGGATAATTCAAATATTTTGCAACACCTACTCATGCAGATGGCAGGATATTGGTTTTTTTGTGACAATAAAGTGTGGGCCTGATTTGACTCAAAGGTATTACTTTGCTGCATATTTGTATATCCTGCCGTCACAGAAGCACAGTGTTTAAAATAGAGTTTTTCAAGTATTTGTTTTGCTGTCTTCTTTCAGTAACGTGATCAAAACAGTGGAATGTTGAAGTTTTGAAAGGAAGATAGGTCATCCAGATTTTTTATTAGACATACTAAATATAGATGACTGAATCAGGTATGAAAGTATTTTTTTTTCCATTTCAAGCATCACATTTGAATGCAAATAAATTTTCTGGAAGTCATTTCATTCAATAAAAGGCCAAGTTACAGAATTGGCTCTCTAAGGAAGGCATTGATGAATAAAAATTATGTAGGTATATTTTACCTTTCGTCATTTTTTCATCAAGCAATTAAGGTGTTTGTATTATACACAGAATACTGAGCTATGTTCTTTGGAGCTACAATGGAGGACACACAGTAATCCCTGGAGTCACTCATGCTGGTTAAACTCTGTCAATGGACTCCTAAAGTGCTTATTTAATCTTGGCAAAAAAAAAAAAAGAACAAAAGAAAAAAAAACAGACAATTGAAGCTGAGAATGATATTTCCCATACTTAAAGAATTAACTCTGATAAGAAGACAGAAAAACTAATGATTCAAAAGGAGAATTTCCTCTTTATTCTCTTTCTACAGATGATTTTCTGTATCATTTCAAGCTACATTAGTAAACTTAGGAGTATATAGAAGAACATATTTGAAGATCTGTTTAGCCCAGTGGTTATCAGTTTAGAATGAAATTTTAAAAAGAAATTATAGACATTCAGAATCAGAAATTTTATGCACATCATTATTTTGATTATGTAGAAGATAGTCAATTACTTATTAAACTTAGCCACATTGAGATTCATTATCTGCATTAACAACATTATAGGTATCTTAAAAATGTCCATCATTCATTACATAGATAACTAATTGGTATGCAGTCACGCAATAAAATTCCCTGAGCTGGTTCAACTGGGGCTTCAAAAGAGCATGAATACTGTAACTTTTTAAAAATGAGCAATGATATGACAATTTTGCAGTAGTATACATAGTACTGTTCAACAATATTTTCAATTCTCTGCATATTTGAGTATAGGGTTTCCAGATAGTACACAGGACACTCAATTACATTATAGACAGTGATCAGTATTTTAGTAAAAATATTTTTCTAAATATTGCATGGTGTATGATTCTATTACAATTATTCATTTTGTACCTAAAATTTGAATTTAATTGGGCATCCTGTATTTGTGAAATGTGACACTTGTATTTGGCAGTGACTTCAATTTTCTTCTACTTTGAGGTTGGATGTCATTATTTGACTCAATTTTTCCATTTGAATGTGTTTCACTTATCTGGGAGATCTATCTCAGGCAATCAATTGATGAAGAATTCATGTCCCAGAGAACTCCTTTCCTGACCCAGCATCATGGAATTATAAGATGTTGTAAGGGTGAATGCTAGTCACACTTACATGATAGCTGTCCAAGAAAGTTTCCCAGTATTGCTACAGATTTTGAGTGGTAAGAACTATGATAAGCCATTGTTTTTACTTTTGTTTTTGTTTTGTATCCTTACACTAAAGTTTAGGGGTTGCTTGTTAACACAGCATTATCTAGATTATTCTGACTGATAAAGTTGGGAACCACTGGGATTCTAGGAAAATGTAGAAGAATTTTTGTCATCATTAAAATTTCACTTGATTTTCATGATCCTAAATTTAACGCAGCAGTGGTAAGGGTGTTTGCATGTGTGCATGTGTGCTCATGTGCACATGCCTGCACATGTGTTTTATTATATTTACTGCATTAGTTTTTTTTTCTCATGCTACTAATAAAGACATACCAGAGAGTGGGTAATTTATAAAGGAAAGAGGTTTAATTGACTCACAGTTCCACATGGATGAGGAGGCCTCACAATCATGGTGCAAGGAAAATGAGAAGCAAAGTCACATATTACATGGTGGCAGGCAAGAGAGCGTGTGCAGGGGAGCTCACCTTTATAAAACCATCAGATCTTGTGAGACTTACTCACTATCATAAAACAGAGTGGGAAAGACCTGCCCCCATGATTCAATTACCTCCCACTGGGTCCTTCTCTCAACACGTGGGAATTATGGAAGCTACAATTCATGATGACATTTGGGTGGAGATAGAGCCAAACCATATAATTTACCTTAGTCTGAGTTGAGATTTTTTCCAGTTAAGTGTCATAGAAAGAGAGACAATGATGCTGAAGGTAATTGTGAAGACATGATTGCAATGAAAGAATGCAGAGTCAAAGCTGGGAGTGAAGAGGGAAGAAATGTTAGGGACAGTGAAGCAGATAGAGAAGTCAATAAACTGATGTCCTGGGTGGAGCCAAAAATGTTAAAAAAAAGTTTATGAAATAATCCTTAATCTACCAGAGCTTCTGATATAGGGTAGAAAATATCAGTTTTTTAAAAAATTCTGACTAATAGTGTTATTTGAATTAATTGAATAGAAGATGGAAAAAATATGACCTCGTTATTTTATGATACAGTAATGACTGAAAATGTGTCCTGAAAATAAAGATAAAATCTAGATAGTTTTAGAGAAGAGTAAATAGTAATTCAAAAAGAGAGTTCTGATCCATCTCAGATGAGCCTCTATTATTTAGCAAACCTATTTTATTTATTCTATTTTAATCAGTCACTATTTCAAAGCTTTAAGCTCCTCAACTCCTCATATATTTAATCTCACAGATAACATGTATTAGTGGCTGGAGACTGGCAGATAAGTACTCCCTAAACAAATCTTTTCTTTTTAAAAATACATCTAAATCAACATAATGCACATAAAATGGTAGGTTTTACTGCAAAACCATTAATATTTGTAATTTTTACCATGTCATACATACTTTTGAGATACAGTATTATGAAGTATTTGTGTTTTCACCAGATGTATCTAAGCCATAACCACAAGTTTTCAAAAGGCAAATCGAAGCAATGTTCTTGAAGAGAAGCTGTAACAAAGAACATCTCAGGGTGATTACATGTGGTGGTGGAGCCATTACCCAGCATCCATAAATTCCTCAGGAATTCAGATTTTCTAAATGGAGAAAAAACAATGTCTAATAAATACAGCCAGAAATTAGGAGTTGTATTTAGAAACCAAGTAGTAGTAAGAAAAAGGGGAAGATTAGTAGAGAGGCATATTTTGGGTAGTTAAGAAATTGAAAACAGTTACAAAATAGATGTAGTGAGATAGTTCAGGTTCTAAAGTTTTGGCCACTTTCACTTGGATTTGTCCCTTCCCTTCACCTCATTGTGGAGGGAATAATTTTCATCTCAGGGTTATGGAGATGGCAGAACATACAAACCCTGACACTGGCAGGATAATATTTGCAGCAGTTTATTAGTCACATATGCATACAGCCCAGGAGTAGAGGACACCATGGGCCACACAGGCCAATATGGGGTTTTATTTTGGAGCAGAGTGAACAAGCTGGGCTGTGGAAGGCAAGCTGTATATTAATAAGAAATTGAGGTGAGCCAGGTGACCCCTGGGTTCCAGATGAGGGTATGATTATCTTTTTCAAGTAATTCCATGGGCTGCTGTTGGGGCACCGAAGCCCATTACTCAGGGATAAGCAGGCACTGTAGCTGGTCCTCATGATAAGGATTAGGGGAAAATATTTGTGGGAACATAATGTGCAGTAAAATGTGTGGCTAGGGTATTTGAGGCCCTTCTACCTTCAGATGTCAAGAAAGCACATTAATATTTCATGTCAATTTCACACCTTATACTACACTTGATGTGTATGTATTTAATAAACTTTTAATGTAGAACAGTTCTGATTTACAGAAAAATTACAATAGCATCCATTATATCCTACAGCTAGTTTCTCCTATTATTAATGTCTTACATTAGTATATCACAATAGTCACAATTAATGAACTGATATTGATACATTATAATTAACTAAAGTCCACTCTATATAGTTTTAGTTTTTACCTAATGTTCTTTTTCTGATGCAGGATACCATATAAGATACAACATTACATTTAATCATCATGTCTCCTTAGGCTACACTTGGCTGTAAAATTTTTTCAGACTTTCCTTGTCTTTGATTACCTCAACTCTGTGGACCATTCCTGAATTAGAATTTGTGCGAAGTTATGAGTTTCTTTGAAGAAAGAACACAGAAGTACCATTAACATTACATCATATGAAGGGAACACACGATCAATGACATCACCATTGATGTTGACCTTGATTTCCTGGTTGTGGTTATGTTTGATTGTTTTCTATACTGCAAAGTTATACTTTTTCTCCCTCTTTTCCATACTGTAATCTGGAAGGAAGGCACTGTACATAGACTATACTTAAATAGCAGGGAGTGAAACTCTAACTCCTAAAGAATACCTACATAAACACTTTGAAATTACACTTTGTGTGAAATTAGTCCCTTTTCCCTCATTTATTTACTTATTCAATCATTCATTTATAGCAATATTAGCACATTAATATTTATTCTGTGGATTATAACACAGTACTACTTAATTTTGTTATTCAAATTGTTTTAGCTCTGGCCATTGAAATCTCTTTTTGCTGGTTCCTATGTCCCTTTGACATAGCCTATCATTGTGTGTGTGTGTGTGTGTGTGTGTGTGTGTGTGTGTGTGTGTATTCCAGCACTTTCTTACTTTCTGGAATAACTTTAAGCTCCAAGATCATCCTGTATATTTCCTGCCCTAAATTTAGAATTAACTATTTATCCTTTCATTAGAGAATATTAGAAACCATATACAAATATATAAAATACTTCTATATGAAGCCATTTGTATTTAATATCTCCAACTAGAATGATACATGTAGTAATGGATTAGAGTTGGAGACATGAGTAAAAACTCATTCTTGAGAGTCCTGCATTTTTATGTGATATCAACTTTTTAAGATACATTTGTATATAAGAAAGAAACAACCACTTTGATTATGTGATAATAAATTTTTATGTGAATAAAAAATGTATCCAACTTTGACTTAAATCACTTTTTTAAAAAAGTTTGAGATAGCCCTGCTCCATTGTCCAGGCTGAAGCACAGTGGCATCATTCTGGCTCACTGAAACCTCTGCTTCCCCACCTCAAGTGATCCTCCCAACTCAGCCTCCTGAGTAGCTGGGACTACAGGTGCACACAACCATCCCCTGCTAATTTTTTTGTATTTTTTGTAGAGATGGGGTTTTGCTATGTTGCCCTCTTCTCACATCTCCACTAGGCAGTGCCCCACTGAGAACTCTGTCTAGGGTCCCCAACCTCAGATTTCCCCTCCTCACTGCTCTAGCAAAGATTCTCCATGAAGACTCCTCCCCTGCAGCACACCTTTGCCTGGATATCCAGGCATTCCTTACATCCTGTGAAATCTAGATGGAGATTCCCAAACCTTAATTCTTGACTTCTGTGTAAACCCACAGGCTCAACGCTACACATAAGCCACCAAGGCTTGGAGCTCACACCCTCTGAAGTAACAGCCTGAACTCCACATTGGCCCCTTTTAGCCACTGCTCAGACACAGGACACCAAGTCCTGAGACTGCACAAAGCAGCAAGGCCCTGGGCCTGGCCTACAAAACCATTTTTTCCTCCTACACCTCCCAGCTTGTGATGGGAAGAGCTGCTGTGAAGACCTCTGACATGTCTTGGAGACATTGCATTTGGCTCCTTTTTACTTATGCAAATTTCTGTAGTTGGCTTAAATTCCTCCCCAGAAAATGGGATTTTCTTTTCTACTGCATTGTCAGGCTTCAAATTTTCCAAACTTCTATGCTCTGCTTCCTCTTGAACACTTTTCCACTTACAAACATCTTCAGTCAGATACCCTAAATCACCTCTCTCAAGTTCACAGTTCCACAGATCTCTAGGGCAGAGGCAAAATGCTGCCAGTCTCTTTGCATAGCAAGAGTGACCTTTACTCCAGTACCAAACAAGTTCCTCATCTCCATGTGAGACCACCTCAGCCTGGACTTTATAGTCTACGTCACTATCGACATTTTGGTTAAAGCCATTCAACAAGTCTCCAGGAAGTTCTAAACTTTCCCACATCTTCCTATCTTCTTCTGAGACCTCCAGACTTTTCCAAACTCTGCCTGTTATCCAGTTTCAAAGTTGCTCCCATCTTTTTGAGTATCTTTACAGCAGCACCACACTCTTTGTGGTACCAATTTACTGTATTAGACTGTTTTCATGCTGCTAATAAAGACATACCTCAGAGTGGGTAATTTATAAAAGAAACAGGTTTAACTGACTCACAGTTCCACATGGCTGAGGAGGCCTCACAATCAGGCTGAAGGCAAATGAGGAGCGAGGTCACGTTTTACATGGCACCAGGCAAGAGCGCTTGTGCAGGGTAACTCCTCTTTATAAAACCATCAGATCTCCTGAGACTTATTCAATACCATGAGAACAGTATGGGAGAAAACTGCCCCTAAGATTCAGTTGTCTCCACCTGGCCCAACCCTTGTCACATGGAGATTATTACAATTCAAGATAAGATTTGCGTGGGGACACAGCCAGACCATATCACCTGCTTATGTCTGCATGTCTAACTACTGTAACCTTAATAACATTCAAAGTTTTATATATCTAATTGCTTTAGTGGTTCCTGAGTAGTAGACAGCTTTGCAGTGTCTTAGCTGAATTTTTATTAAGAACACTATTTGCCAATATTATATTCGTGCGTTTTTTGGTGTTGTCTACCTAGACTTCTCCAGGTTCTGCCAGCCTACAGTTAATGAGAATCAGCTCAATCTGAACTTTTATGTCACCATGACAGTGCTCATCTCCCTATCATTTCAGTTTGTTAATGATTCTCTTGTTTCTAAGCACATCTGTTGCTTTTGTCGTGTGAGAAACAATCCAGTTCGCATGCATGCCTTTTAATTAGCTAAAATTAGATTCCAAACTAAGCACATATGTCACTTTGATTAAGGAGTTTCTAATATGTAGCCCATGTGTTTATCAATATAGAAAATAAAATTACAATATTTTGGTGAGTGGAAATAAGGCACATTCTGAAAATTCTGTACTCATTATGTTTCTTAAAACTCATTTGGAAAACTTGTAAATTGCAACGCGATATATTTTTTACCAGTCAACCTATAAAGAAGCAAACAGTGATTTTTGCTTTAGAGTGCCAAGAACCTAGTGTCTGGTGAACATTCTATCAATATTTTCACTAAACGCCATAAATATCCAAAGGGCTTAGTAATAGCTTTCTGCTTTTTGGCATCTTATCATTGCACTTTTTATTAAATGAGCAATATGTAAAAACAATGCTGAAACTTTGTTCAATATCTATTCCATTATCAAGAAGGAAAGTTTCCCCAATATATAAAAAAAACTTCAGTCAGAAACTTATTGAATGCTTTTTAATTTAGAGGTGTTCTTTAATTTCTTTGATTATTTTTTCACATATTTATTGGTTTATAAAATATACTGTGCATTAGAATTGCAATCAAAGTATGAAATTGCATTATAACAAAGGCTTCTTTTTAAGATGACTCCTTTGGTATTTTAATAAAACCTTTTAATTATGGTTCAAGCTAGTCTGCTTTCTACTAAATTTTGTTTCATAGTTCCAATGTATAAAATAAAATGAAAAGGTACTACCTTATGACATAGATCCAAACTTTTGACATTGAATGACAGTTAGAAACATTACCCATCTTGATAAATATTTATGAAAACATTTCTAATTGAAATTAGATTGCAACTTCTAACCTACTATAAAAATAATGTGTGTTCTTGAGAAATCAACATATGTTTAGTATCCTTCTGTAATTTTATAATATTAAGGGTCAATAATACCTTTATTTTCTATGCTTATTTTTGGTAATTTTAATAATGTAGTTGGATTTATAAGGATTGTATATCTAAAAATTCCTCTTTTAAAAAACAGTTCTTTTGTATTTTGCATACTTTGTCTTTTCCTTAATATAAAAATATTTTACTTTTTCTTTAAAAAAATTCCCTTTTTGTTGTTCTCATTTAATAAACATTTATGAATATTCAAATATGCTGATTTCATTTTTTATCTTCACTTATTTGCCTAGAACTTGTTTAAAATGAGCAATTCCTTGGTAACTGCTTGAAAACACTAATCATTTTCATTGGCTTTACTTTAGTAGATACTGTTAAAATACCTCTTCTATACAGGGAAAAGTAAAAAAAGATCATATCTAAACAGTTATGGAAGAAATAATTCCAGATTTATCACATAATTGATATATAAACATTAAATATGGAAAACTGAAAAGAAGAAAAACATCACCCTCATTCTCAGTATCCAGGGATTAATTTTTTAATTATGTTTGTGCATTTCTGTCTAGAATTTTATTTGGAAGATAAATAGGTTTCTTCGTAAGTTCATTGCAAAAGGTATTATTATTTGGTCTTTATATTAAGATCTCATTAATTTTTAATGTGGATATACCTGTTTATTTGGCCTTAATAACATTTTCTTGGACTTCTTCCAAATCCTGTAGATGTTTCTATCTGTCTCTTATGAATGCCTTATCTCCTTTACAGGATGCTTTAACATAAGATTTTCCCAGATCTGGAATCTTGGCATTATTCTCCCTTAAAAATGTCTGCCGTTTCCATGGCTTCAGTCAGAATCCCAGTGTCCACAATTCTCCATTTTTACATCTAACCCCATTTTTTTTTTCCTGATCCGGTAACTTTGAAATGCCTTCCGGCACCACTTTTACTGGAAATCAGGGGGTTTTGTTTTGCTTGTTTGATTTTCATGGCTTTTTTTCCCTTTACTATTTGTTTTATTGGAGGTGTTCGTCACCCTATGTTTTCATTTAGTCAGTTTATTCACTGACTTCAAGCCTGAGCATTGAGGCCCCTTTTTCAGAGAACACTTTCTTTATTTTCTAATTGTGCCCATCTCATTGCCTTTTTTCCCTCATACTCTTATCTAGCTTAAGAATATGATATACAATTTCATAGCACCACTTTTATACAAGACTATAGATTCAATGAGGCTGACAGCATATTTGACTTATCAACCATTATGCCTGCAGAACCTAGACAGTGCATAACATTTCCAGTGTTTAATAATCTTTTACAATTTTAAGTTATTTTCAGGTAAGTATGCATGAGAAGAACCAGGAAAATACTCAAGGGATGTAGGTCATCTATCCCATATGGTTTGGTAGAAATGTAATTGAATTCTCAAATTCTAAACATGAATTCAAGTTTTTTTTCTGACTGTGATGAAATATCCTGACTTGAAAGCTGTTTAACCATCATATTTTATAATTAATATAACCATAACCATGCTATATATTTCAATAAATTTTTATTTGATATTAATATTTGCCAATATAATACTTGAGATCTCTGTATGGGCTCCTCATATATATCCTTTAATGGCCCAAAATTTCATTGGGTTTACAAGTAAAAGTAGTATAGGTTGATGCAAATGCATTGTTACTGATTAGTTGCCAACATTCTCTTTGTATAATACAGTTTAAAATAGAGAGCATTAAAGTTTAAATTACTAAGTATTTGGGATACCAAAATGTCAATCTTGACTTACTTCTTTAAACTTTTTTCCTTTGTCTGAAATTAGTGATTCTGAGAGTAATCTTACACACTGTGTCCAATAGAGGTCTCAAATAGTCCAACCAGCTGTAGTGCTTTCATTAACTCCACCAAATATTAACAAGAATTCTTTTTCTAAATAAAACACAGAAGCTACACCTTATCACCAACTCTATCAAAAATCGAACAAATATCTAATGTCTTAAATTTTTGTTTTATCATACTGCATATTTGTCTTTGTATCTGATTTCAAATGATTAAAATTTATGAACCTAAACTAAAATAATTTCATGGTGTTTTTACCTGACAGGCATCAACTATGATGAAAATAATCCTACAATTTAAGCTAATGCAGAAAGCACAAAATGTTTCAATTACATCAAACACTTAGAAAAATAACTTTCTACCAAGTGATATTTTTGGCTATTTATGCTTAAGAGGAAACTATTTTCTGGTAATCTATAGACATTAAAACAAAAATAACAACCTCATTTTTCCTGTTCTTCTTCCATTTGAAAAGCTGCTATTGCTATTCAATTTGTTCACGTTCTTTTTCTCCTCTCTCCTGTGGAGAGTTCTAAAATATTTCATTTTGCCACTTAGTTTAAGTGAGAGATATATGGAACTACTCAGAATGATTTATTTGTAAGTTACTTGATCTAAGTCACACATTTTACTCTTTGTAATTGTGTTTATAGTTTCAATCAGTGAACCGCTGTTAAATAATTAAATTAAAATATACAGAAATTTGGCACATCATTAAAATAATGACAGAAATTAAGTAAGAAAATGAATTGGTGCATGTTTTTTTTCTGCAGACAATATGTTAAACAAACCAATCACTCTTTGTAAATGAAATTTGGAGTCTGTGAAGCATAAGAACAACAGTGAATATTATATTGATAGTGGAGGAAAATCAGAGAATCTAAATTATAAATACAAGAATAAATATAATAAAAATTGTGGTACTCATTATTGTGAGGTATATCTTCTCTTCCTGTGTTTTCTTTCTAAAACCTTGATCATTTCAGTTTTCTAATTTACCTTTCAACAAAAGTGTGATATGGTAAAAACTATCTTTTCTAAAGATATTTAAATCTTAATTTTGCAGTTTTTTGTTATTTTACTCCTTATATTTAATGCAACTTGAAACCAAGAATCATATATTATTTCATATCATCCAGTAACATAGTTCTTACAAGGTTGCCAATCAATTTTATTTTGTATGAATTTAGTAATTCGGATTTTCATATTACTGATTTGCTGAACTCTTGATTTACTTTTGAACTACTATTCTGCAGCATCATTTCAGTTTGAGATAAATTTCAAATTTTATCAATGTAAAATTGTGCAAACAGAACTTTGATAAAAATACATTAATCAAACTTAATTTTACTATTTTTTGTTCTAGATGCAGAATAAAAATTCAGCTAAAAATAATAAAAGGAACTAGGAAATTTGAACCAACTGAAGGAAATATAATGCTAGTGTAAGAAGGATTTTGTGTTACACAAGCAGTGTATAAATATCACATATTTGATACTGAAACTAATACCTCTACATTGAAGAAAAAAGATTTAATTGTGTCTAAAATTGCCCTTGAATAGTCTGTGGGATGTTAGAGGAATTTTTACACAGAAAAGCATGGAAACTCCAGGAAGGGAGAAAGAAGTGGACTAAGGCTGAAGGTAGAAGATATGGCCAGTGAGGACCTGGGATTTTAAAACCAGACTGACTGTTATCAATTACTCTTTAAGAAATTAATGAATGAAAAGTTGAGCACTTTTTGCTCAACAGCTATTAAAAACTGTTGAGAATGTTTGTGAAACATTTAATGTCAATAAGAAAGAATAATAGATGATATGTCTAGGAGATGATTGGAAGACAAAGAAGAAAAAATTGTGTGACTATTTTAGTCATCCTTTGTGCATCTTTGATTTGAGATGAAATGGGAATGATGTCAATGCTAGTAAGAACTAATTATTGGAAAACATATAACCACTAAAGTTTAGGCATGCCATGACAATAGATTTGTGTGAGACTAAAAGGAAGACCCAAACATAAATTTAGGTCCTATGTATGTTACTGATGGAATCATGACTATCTGAAATAAATGACACATACAGTAAGGGGTCTTTAAGGCAGAAAATATAAGATGAGCTCAGTGATAGTTATGTTGTTTATAATAATATATACTCAAAGTCCTTGAAAATTCAGATCAAATACATTATTTGGATACAAACGAGATACCTATGCTTATTACACATGGTTAATATTTCCAGTAAATATAACAGAAGCATAAATTACTATTTAAAAAGAGATGGTTTCATTTCTGTAATTTGGGGTCGTGGGCAGTGGTAGACAGTTTCTCTTGAATAGAAAAGCACATAATTAGCATATTTTATCATGCAAAATTGTGATGTATCATAGATTAAAAGGCGTTCGTTGTTTGAGTGATGCAATTTTTGAAGAGAAATGGAGAATCTGTTAGAAAACAGGGAGATGCTTCAAAAGTCAGTCCACAGAGAAATTTTCTGCCACAAAGTGGCAAAATACCTCATGTTAAATGTCTAGTATTCAATTTTAATTGGTTTCCTTTTATGTATTTTTCTAGAACTACGTGTCCTCCTTTGTTCTCCCACACTAGATTGTAATCTTTCCAGAGTTTGTCAGTGAGAGAAATAGGAAAAGACATCTTCAAAATTACTAATAAAAGATACACAGAAAAATACTTATAAGTACCAGAAATGATGTTCTTGTTTGTTTCTCTTTCTTTGAGTTTACTGTTGAATCACAAACTATATAAAGAATTTAGCCCTGGGACGGAGACTTCTGTGACCAAACAATTTTATATTCATACCTTCCTGATATCCTATTGCTTAAGATGATGATTTTTCCATTGTATTCAGATGATGTAACCTGACGCCATCCAATTCATGTACTTTATAAATTCATATGTAAGGCTTACTCTGAGCCAGACCCTGCTCTAAGCACTTTACAACTAAGTCATTGAAATCTCCCAGCAGCACTATGAGATAGGTACTGCATTATCACCACTTTCAACTAGAGGTATGAAACCAAGGGAGAGGCAGTAACATTCCTGAGTCACATAGCTGGTCGGAGGGAGAGACTTCTATCTCCTGAGACTGTCCTCTTACCCACTACACCATGCTATCTCCATGCTTATAGAAATTAAAGTGTGCCCGTCGTCCTAAAGGAGATATTCTTAATGCTTCCTTGCCTACCTTGAAAACAATGCGAAAAATTGTTCAATAAAGTAGAAATTGAGGTGTATTATATTGGGGAGTTTCGTATTTTTCATGAAGAGGCACAATCTGCGTAATTTCGAGAACTGGCTTTGGATTACTTTCATTGAAATAAGCCTAAGCAGGCACAGGTAACGAACTCATTAGTCCCAGTTCATTGCTGTGAAATATTTTTTCCCTAAAATCTGTTATATGCAACAACTTTAGGTTTGTGGTGCTTTAAATTAGAAAGAAAGGTGACAGTTGTACTATTGAAAGTAAAGCGTGGTTATAAAGAATAGGAGTCAAGTTGATAAAACAACATGATCAAAACTTTATGGAAGCTGAAATTTAAAGTGATAGATAAGAAAGTCGCCCATCTCAATAAATCTTAGGATTCTTCAAGAAAATGAGAAAGGTTTTAGATTCTCTGAACCTTGATGTGAAAGAAAAGAACAAAGGGTAGTGAATATGTCAAGCAATGGCTGAAAAAGAGAAGAAATTAAACATGCTATATTCTTCTTCCTCCCTAAAGATTTTCATCAGATTAGGACTGAGCTGGAGAGCAAAGACATATAATTGGAAAGTAAATCAATGCTTTAACATTAACAGGATCAGATTCTGTTATTGTCTGAAAAATGACATTGTGAAGAATTGAAAGTGACAAGAGACACTGAAGGATATTTCTAGGATTGCAATCAAGAGTGGCAAGATAAGATCTGACAGAAATATTGTAAAAATAGTCGTTGCAAAATAACAACAATAATTAGCTTCTTTCTTTTCAGCTTATTAAACAAACTTACTGTATTCATTTTATTGAATTATCTATAATGCAAGCTGAGTGGTCCTAGAGAAGATACCAGGTAATGCCACAGCAATTGATAAAAGACCACATGAATAGCTTCTGTTTTTGAATCCTTGTTGTGATCTTCCTAACACCATATTTACTTTCAAAATATAATTGCACTATTAATGGAAACATATTTTCTCTCTAGAGTTTCAACCATTTGTAATTGACTATTAAAGTTAATCTTAGAGAGTAATAATGACAGTGGTCTAGGGTTTTCATGCGCTTTTTCTTTTTCTCTTTCTTTCTTTTTTTTTTTTTTTTTTTTTTTTTTGGCGGAGTCTAGCTCTGTCTCCCAGGCTGGAGTGCAGTGACGTGATCTCGGCTCACAGCAACCTCTGCTTCCCGGGCTCAAGCGATTCTCCTGCCTCAGCCTCCCGAGTAGCCAGGATTACAGGCGCCCTCCACCATGCCCAGGTAATTTTTGTCTTTTTAATAGAGTTGGGGTTTCACTGTGTTGGCCAGATTCATCTCAAACTCCTGACCTCATGATCTTCCCGCCTCGGCCTCCCAAAGTGCTGGGATTACATCATGTGCTCCTTCATATGAGCAAAATTCCCTACCGTTCTCATGGCTGGTATTATTCTCATGCCAATACTCTTCCCTTAGTGTTCATTGTGCTTTAACCACTTGGAGACTGGGTAACATTATCACCAATAGATAAAAGCTTTAGAGTACTTATAATTTAGCATACATCTATTGACTGTCTCTTCTATTTCTATTTCTTTTCTAGTTACCTTCTAAAGAAATAAGAATAAATTACTTTTTAAAACTTCAATATACAAAGGTGTCAGTTAGATCTGCATTTATACCAATCGCTACTTTCTGATAATAAAAAAGTAAAATAATAAATATGTGCTTTGTAACTGGAGATACAAAATTTTTAAAAAATATTATTTTCCTGGCCAGTCTATTATTTTACTCAGTCTTAAATACTGACAGAGTAACTCCTGTACTATTAATCCATTTTCTTGACACATCGAATTCATGCAAAATTAATAAGGCGTAACATTGGATTTTGAAAAGAAGAAAATTATTTGACAACCCTGAAAATAGAACTCAGACAATTAGTTCAGATGTTTTCAATTCGGCAAAGAGTTACCTGCCTTAGAAAAATTCTGAGTGTGATCGTTAATAGTTAAATTAGAGGAAATCACTCTATATTAAAAGCAAATAATTATTAGAATCTTACCAGTTATATATTATCTATGGATTTGCTTCCTCTGTTTTCCAGTCAAGTTTCCTAACTAAACATCTTTCTTATGTGTCATGTTTTCTTATTGCCTACCTACAATTTTACCATTGCTTTCACAGTGCAGACTACTTATTTTTTCCAAGCCACGTATTCAAAATAAATGGCTATTTTCCATAAGACAAAATTACATATCTTAAAGAGCACAAAGAAATCCCTACCAACATTTTTGTAAGAAACTTAATTTGATATCAAACTATGTTATGCACATATAAACAAAGAAGGAAGTACATAATCGACTATATTGGAAATGGAAAAATTATTGAAACTATAGGTTTTTGTCAAAGCAAATTTAGAAAAGTAAACAGACTCTATTTAAATTGTTTAGCTTAAAGTTCTTAAATTTCAAAACTTCATGAATGGCAGAAACATACCAAGTAAAGGTGCTAAGTATCCATTATATATAATGAAATTGGTAATGTTAACCACAAATCTTATATTCTGTTTTTTTGTTGAAATTTATCCAAGTTTTAAACTTTATTTGTATAAATTTTTGACTGAGATATTAATGTGGGAGTCTGCCTTAATATGATTGTCACTGTTTATCACTGTCTTAATCATCAGTCACGTTGATATTCTTATCTGTGGATGGTATAGATTATTAAAACTTAAACAATGATCATAAAACAATTATCAGTATGATTTAGGTGCCATAATATTTTCTCTTTCTGTTAAGCATTTCAAATGTTAAGACCTTAAAGACACTTTAGCATTCTCTGCTCATCTAAAGATGTTAGACTAGTTATTTCTCCAACTCTTTGTACTTTAAAGTTAGCTGAAAATTAGAAAATTCCATTTTCAATGAAAGGAGGAATATAGAAAACATCCATAATTTCAATTTCAGTTTATGAAAGATGCCTTCAAAGTACACAGAAAATTGAACTGGGACGAGAAAGGATGCTGAGAAAAAATGCATGGCTCTCAGAGCTTATGCATTTTAAACAGCAAAATAGTTTATTAAAGGTAAAGATGGCCAAAACAATAGCTCCTTACTTGGAACAGCAACACTGGCTCTACAGGCTGGCAAAGAAGGGAGATTCCAACAAGGAAATATGCAGGCATGTTGTGTGTACAAAAAGGCTGTGTTAATGTACTTATTTGGCAGAAAAACTACGCCTTGCAAATAGCACTACAACTGCAGTAATATGTCACCAGATGAGGAATGATGGATAAGTAGTGACTGCATGTAAATGTAAAAGATAAATGCCTTTGTAAAGTATTTATACAGATACTTGGAAAAATTGCAATATATATAGAAATGTGGTGCAAATATGCAACCGACATAAATTGAAATGGAAATCAACTGCAGACATGTACAAAAGTGCCAGCTTATTGATTTATTCATCCCTTTTGGCAGAAGTCTTGCAATAGTTACTATTCATAATGTTTAAAAGAAAGCTATAAAATGAATAAAATAAGAGAATAAAATGAGAGGTTTTAAGGAATAGGCTCTTGTGATTACTTAGGCTGAGAAGTCCTGCATCTGAAGGGTAGGCTGGCAAGCTGGAGACTCAGGGAAGGGTCAGTGTTGCAGTTCAAGTCCAAAGGTTGTTTGCTGGTACAAGTCCCTCTTCTTTTGGGAAGTCCACCTTTTTCTACTTAAGCCTTCGACAAATTGGAAGAAGCCACTGACATTATTAAGTAAATTTTACTGGATATGAACTGATTTATTGTAAATGTTCATCACTTCTAATACCTTTATAGCAACAACTAGATTCCTGTTTGCCCAAATTACTGAGCACCATAGTTTAGTCAAGTTAACACATGAATGTAACCAACACACCATCTTAGGCCAGCTGGCTTGTGGACATCTTGTTAGCTGACTGTAAACATCTGGTGACCCTAGGGAAGATCTACATCAACACCCAGCAGGACCCAGCTCTCATTGCCAACCCATATATTTGAATGGTGCACGAAGCTACTAACTTTTGGATACATATATCTTTTTAAATAAGCAAAAGCTAACTGGTTCTGGCCAGATGCTGTGGCTCATTCCTGTAATCCCAGCACTTAGAGAAGCCCAGGTCGGTGGATCACTTGAGGTCAGGAGTTGGAGACTAGCCTGGTCAACATGGCGAAACTTCGTCTCTACTAAAAATACAAAAATTAGCTGGACTTGGTGGCGCACATCTGTACTCCCAGCTACTTGGGAGTCTGAGGCACAAGAATTGCTTGAACCTGGGAGACTGAGGCTGGGGTGAACTGAGATCACGCAGCTGCACTTTAGTCTAGGCAACAGAGCAAGATCCTATCAAAAAAAAAAAAGAAAGAAAGAAAAAAGAAAAAAGCCAACTGATTCTGAACTAAAAGGTAAATATAAAGATATTATTTTACTTTAAATTGACCTATAAAGTTAAGACTTCCAGTCCAGTAAAATAAGTTATTTCTTTTTTAAAACATTAACAAGAATATAGCATTTAGATGGAAAAATATGCACACAAAATCAAAGAAATTTTGACAAAAAATCAATGAATATTAAAATATATTGTAAAACACAATCAGAGCAATTTAATTTAGTTCTGAATCATAAAATAATAGGTAAAATAGCAGGAAAAAATCCAAAATAGTCTTAAATACTCATGAATTTAGTGATACAATAAAACATGAACTTAAAATCAATAGAGAAAAGCTGATTTATTCAACAAAGTGTTCGGATACTTGGAAAAAAACATAGAGGCTTGGGTGGAGAAAAAGCTGAATTCTTGTTTTCCAATATCAGAATACATTACAGATAAAAGTAGAAATATAAATAAGTGAAAACATTAATATATGTATAAGTTTGCCAGAAGAAAATAAGAAAATATTTGAATAATTTAATTATGTTAGGATTTATTAAGTAGCATAGGAATTAAAAAAGGAAAGAATTAAATTATGAATACATTAAACTTTTTATTATGAAAAATCCATGGTGTTGATGGGAATATAAATTAGTTCAACCATTGTGGAAAACAGTGTGCCAATTCCTCAAAGAGCTAAAAACAGAACTACCATTCAACTCAGCAGTCGCATTACTGGGTATGTACCCAAAGGAATATAAAGTGTTTCATCATAAAGACACATGCACATGTATGTTTATTCCAGCACTATTCACAATAGCAGAGATATGAAGTCAACTTAAATGTCCACCAATGATAGATTGGATAAAGAAAACATGGTATATATACACCATGGAATACTGTGCAGCCATAAAAATGAGATCATGTTCATTGCAAGAACGTTGATGGAGCTGGAGGCCATTATCCTAAGTAAACTAATACAGGAATAGAAAACCAAACATCACATGCTCTCACTTATAAGTAAGAACTAAATGATGAGAACACACGGACACAGAGAGGGGAACAATAGACACTGGGGCCTACTTGAGTCTGGAGGGTGGGAGGAGAAATAAAAGTGGAAAAAATAACTATTGGGATTTAGGCATAATACCTGGATTGTGAAATAATCTGTACAACCCTCGTGACACGAGTTTACCTATATTACAAACCTGCACTTGTACCCCTGAACTTGAAATAAGTTTTAAAAGAAATCTACGATCATAATCAGAATATGAGTAACACATTAGGAAGACACAGTTGCGATGTAATAATTATTTTATTAATATGTATAAAGAATTTTGTAAACAGTAAATCATGACAGAAAAATAAAAAGATATGTGAAAAAACATTTTTCACCTAGAAAAGCAACTTTTAATTTTTAACATGCATAAGCCTACTCATATATTAATATGAATACCAGTTAAAATATGTTGACCCCAAAACTTGACAAAGGCTAAAATGTTTTATTATACGTAGTGTGATAAACAAGTGAGGAGCAACAGGCAGCCATAATCTTTTTGTGAAACTGTAAATTGATATGATTATTTACAGTTAAAGTGTACATAGCCTAATCTGATAATTATCCTCATGAAAAATTCCATGATGAACATAATGGTGGATATAAACTTTGACTTAAAGGAAATTTATGCTGATAAAATTGTGGAAAAAACATAAATGGTTTCGAAGAAGGACTAGCTAAATAAATTATGCTAAATCTATGGAAAAAAAGGGATAAATGTTATATGCAGTGTCAATTTCCAAACTGTAGATATAAGTGATCCTCTATGGTATAGTAATAGTTATATGATAATAAACTTTAGATAGATAATAAATTTTAGATGGAATAAACACATACACAGATATGACACCTATCTGTGTATCTCTCTCTCCTCTCCATTTACCTATGCTTATTATATTTAATACATGCATCTATATGTATATGCAAAATAAAGTATGTATAAAAGACATGCAATAGGCATGCAAGAAGTTGTTCATTGTGTTTGCCTCTGGGGAAATTGCCAACCTGGGGATAGAATAAAATTAACATTGCATTTGGGCCAGTCGTGGTGGCTCATGCCTGTAATCCTAGCACTTTGGGAGGCTCAGGCAGGAGGATCACCTGAGGTCAGGAGTTCAAGACCAGCCTGGCCCACATGGCAAAACCCCATCTCTACTAAAAATACAAAAATTAGCTGGGCGTGATGGCACACGCCTGTAATCCCAGATACTCCGGAGGCTGAGGCAAGAGAATTGCTTGAACCTGGGTGGGGGTGGGTGGAGGTTGCAGTGAGCCAAGATCCTGCCACTGCACTCCAGCCTGGGCGACAGAGCAAGATTCCATCTCAAAAAATAATAATAATAAATAAATAATAACATTTCATTTATTTTTTGTCAAAGTATTTATTTTACCATGTATGTATTAATTTACTGCTTTAAAATATTAAAAATATTTGAGGAAAACTTTTGAATGCCTTTTAAATTCAAGTTTGGCTTTGGAGTCTTATTCACTGAAGTGTAGTGCAAGGGCTGGAATGCTATTATTACCTTACCTCAGATTTTCCGTTTCCTCTAAGTAAAGTTGCCAGTTAAAATACAGAAATACAGTTTCTGTTTAACTTTGAATTTTAGATATGCATTTTCTAACGCATATATGTGCCAAATATTGCATAGAGTATGCAACTTTTTAAAATCTGGCCATCCTAACTTAGATTTGATATATAAGAAATATTATTTTATAAGTAAGGTGAACATATAATTTTTATACAAATTGGAACACTTCTGAGAGTAAAATTGTTACAATCTATAGTTACATAAAATCAAAAACATAAACATGGATTCTGCCTAGAAAACTGAATTATCAGGTAATCCTAAATATGATCCTTTCCTCTAGAAGTTGGGAAGAAAAGAATAGCGAAAGAAATTGTTCAGGTGAAATTTCAATCACTGACTATCATTCTCTTTTTTAATCAAGTCTCCTAATAAATATTACCCCCATTTCCCTCCTGCCCATAACTCTGGAAGGACTAGAGTTTATTTCTGCCATATGCAGCTACCATTTAATGCCTATGAAGAATGAGAAGAAAATAAATGAATAATATCAATTATGTAGAAAATAACCTCTTAATATCACTGTCAACAAAGTAAAGTAAGACAGGAAGAAACAGCAAAAAATAAACATTATCTCACTAATATCTTCAATCTTAAAATTATTGCTATTACATAATCTATGTACTTATTGTTCAAATATATTCTATGTAGGGAGCAACTCTTCATGTTCATTTTTACTTACTGTATCACAGGATGTAGAGGCACATTTTATGATACCAGACCTAAGATTGCTAAACTATAATGACAGCATTACAGATTGCAGGTCACAACCACTTGAAGACTACTTAAGAGTATATTTTAAAAAGATAATTTCCTAAAGGAAGTTATATTTTATATGCAGTGACTTGTAAAGAAGTTTCTTCTCTTTTAACTTTGTCAGTTTCAAAACGTTTATTGATCGTGATGAGAAAAGTATAAACTTTTGTGTTTATTTAATTTTATTTTTTGATACCTTCTTTAATGGCTAAGAGGACAAAAGAAATATCATAAGCTCTCTACTGTCTTTTTGTTCTATGTATACATCACATAACAGGAAAAAAGAGGAATTCAACTGGAGAAGTTATGTTAACCATAAAACAGCATTTAACTAGCATTTGTGTGCTGTTTATTTGTAGAATATTAATCTTCATAAACTATTCTGCTGTATAAATGGCCATTAGATTATTCCTCACTGCCCCAATATAAATGAAATGCACATTCAAATATGAGTAATATTACAATGGTTTACCAAGGACCCATGTAAAAATGTGTGGCATAATGTAGCAATAATAAGATAGATTACAAAGCAAGATGATAGTAATTGAATCCTGAAAGAGAAAAATCTGTTAAAAAAAAAGGGGGGGGCTTTCTTGAGATGACTATGACCTTCAGATGACAGAAAGTGCCAGCCTGGTGATCTTGCAAAGACAGGAGTAAATATGATGACCTTATCCTTTAATCTTCTGCCTGTAGGTCCAACTCTATGAGAATTCAGAAGCTCAAATGTATAAATTTCTTAAGTGATGTAAACCAGATAGATAGATCAGCCTCCTAGGATAAAGAGTATGGTGGGAAGAGCAGAGAGCAGACCTGGTGGAGAAGCAGGAAATGTATGATATATTAATTCAACCAATAAATGCTAAGTATGTATTATACAGAGGACATTATGTTAGGTGCAGGAAAAACAAACAGCACAGAGTTCAAACTTTCAAAGAAGAAAAATTTAATACAGAGACCATAAAACTGATTAAATATTGAAGAAAAGTGGGAAGATCTAAAAATAACATATATTATTCCCTACACATTCACATATAATACTAGTGAATTTTTAGAGGTTCAATTTTCTAGAAACCTTAATCTGGGGATCATTAAAGCTTATATTTTCTTACTTCTAATAATCATCCATGAAAATGTTTCATATTTATGACCATGTCAATATTCTGTGTGTTTTCAAGATGGTATTCAGTTTCGGCCTAATTATAACATATTTTAACAACAGGAACAGGCGGGTTTCCATATTTGAACACACTCTAGTATTTTGGAAATAAACCATCCTCATTTCACTTCAATTAATTTATCACACAAATTTCCTGTCCCTATAATTATTTTAAAGCTTTGTATTCTTCTCCCTTATTTTCATACTCTGAATCTAAATCTCAAGTTTAATCTCTTTTTTAATGTCTTTCTCTCTCTCTCTCTCTCACACACACACACACACACACACATTCAGAGCACATTTAGTCCTCAAATTATATAGAATTTCAAAAATAAAATGGTGCAGATCTTACTTGCTTATAAAATTAGCTATATCTGGTCTGATATAACTTTTTCAAGCCTTTCAAGACATAAGGAGTTTTAAATTTAGAGACAGTAAAGAAAGCAGACAAAAGGAGAGATAAAATATGTAATAAATTGTCATTTGGGAAAATCATTTCAGAATTTAGAGACTACTAAATTCAATATCCTTCAATGTAGAAAGGCTGTCTGAAGTACAGCTGTCAAATAAATATGCAGATTCTTCAGAATTTTCTCAGCAATAGGGAATATAGAGTTTTCTAAAGTGTACTTTTCTTTCATTTGTCTTGGATATTTTCAACAATTAAAATGATTATTGTTCAAAAATGAACTGTGTGTCTATACACTGGCAATAAAAAATCAAGAAGAAAAAGAAATTAAGAGAGTAATTTCATTTATAACTTCCTATAGAATAATAAAATAGGAATAAATTTAACCAAGGATATTAGAGACTCTGACAACTACAAAACATTGCTGAAATAAATTAAAGATCTAAAACAATGCAAAGGCATACTATATTCATGGATAAAAGACAATATATTTAACATGTTAACATTATTAAAATCTACTGATGCAATTCAATCTCTATCCAAATTCCAACAGCTGTTTTGGCAAAAATGGGAGAACAAGACACAAATTCATGGGAATTTTGAGGTGTTCCAAATACTCAAAGCAATCTTGAAATAGAAGAGCAAAGTTGTAGAGCTCACTCTTCCAAATTTCAAAATTTATTACACATCAACAGTAATACAAAAATGTGGTTCTGTTTTTATGTAGAAATAAAGCAAGAGCTGCACTAATCAAAACACTGGAGATGGCCATATGTAGACATACAGACCAAAGTAATAGAATTAAAGGTAGAGAAATAAACTCATATATCTATGCTCAAATGATTTTTAACAAAGGTTCTACATATATTCCATAAGAAAAGAGAATCTCTTTAATAAATAAGGCTGAGTAAACTGTAAACTGAATTTCCACAGGCAACAGAAATAAAGTGAACCCCATCTCATACCACATATAAAAATTAACTCAAAATGGAACAACAACCTAAATATAAAAGCTACAACTATAAAATCCTTAAAAGACAATAAATGAGGTAAATATTTATGACCTTGCATTTCACAACTGATTTTTAGATATGACACCAAAAGCATGAATGACAAAAGAAACAATAGATACATTGGCCCTAATCAACATTAAGAAACAAATACAAAACACACACAAAAATTTGTGCATCTCTGATAAATTAACTTTGTGTGTCAACTTGACTAGGCCACAGTACCAAGATATTTGGACAAACATTTTTCTAGATGTTTTTGTGAAAATTGTTTAGATTACAATAACATTTAAATCAGTAGACTTTGAGTAAAGCAGATTACTCTCCATAATTTGGGTGGGCCTAATGTAATCAGTTAAAAGTCTTAATAGAAAAAAGGGCCTACCTCTCCAGAGAAAAAGAGAATTTTACCAGCAGATTACACCTGGACCAAAACTGCATCTCTTTTCTGCGTTTCCAGCCTGCTGGCCTCCCAGGCGTAATTTGGACCTGCCAGTAGCCATAATTGCATGAGTCAATTCTTTAAAGTAAATCTCCCTGTTTCTCTTGAGAATTGTGACTAATACACCATAAAAGGACATTATTAAGAAAGTGAGAGATAACCCATAGAATGGGAAAATATTTGCAAATTATATATCTGATAAGAGTTTGATATCCAGATCATAAAAGTACTCCTACAACTTAACAAACATCAACAACAAAAATAAAAACCCTAATTTTAAAAATGGTCCAAGTACTTGAATAAGTGTTTCTCTAAAGAAGGTATACAAACAGCCAACAAGAAATTGTAAAGATCTGTTTCATTAACTATTAGGGAAATGCATATCTCATATCCATTTGACATAAAGGACAAATATTCTATGATTCCATTTATATGAAATGTGTAAAATAGGCAAATTCATAGATTCGTTTAGATGTCGATCTAATCCAAACTAATCTAACCTAGGAAGTATATTAGAGATTAGGGGGGTTAAAAAAAGAAGGGAATGCAGATTTATTGCTTTGTGGTTATAGAATTTCTGTTTGCACTGATGAAAAAGTTTTGGAAAGAGTGGTAATGGTTGCAAAATATTGCGAAAGTAATTAATGTGCTTGAATTATACACCTTAAAATGTCTAAAATGAGAAAATTTATCCTTTATATATATTTTTACCACAATAAAAAGAATTACAAATAATTACTCTGGTGGTAGAGGAGGGGTTTGAATACATTTTTCACCGCACCTCATTAAGAACATGATAATTGACAAAGACGTAAAATAGTTGGAGGTGTTATGCTTGCAGATAGTAATTTGGTAGAATCCTGTTCTTATAATGGGAGCATATGAAGTAGGATCCTGGAAGCATATGTGTTTGAAGTGAAATGAGGAAAGACAAAAATTGAGGTCAGAGAGTTAAGCGAGGTAGATAAAAATAGCAACCGATAAAGAGAAAACCATATAGAAAAATATGACATAATGCAAGATTATTCAGCATAGTTCATACAGAAGCAGAAGAGCTTGGGTGTGCTAAATGAGAAACAAAGCTTTTTTGTTTTTTTAATCATCATATATTAAAGGTGCAATAAAAACATTGTGGCCATTTTTTTGGGAAATGGTTCAAAACAATTTTTCAAAGAAAGATTCTATATTTCAATCATTACCATCATTTCTCATTTACTCACATAAAGAAATGAGTAGGATCATATATTTAAATTTTTTTGAGTTTTTAAAGCACTTCTAAATGGATGGAGTAGCCTCTTCTGCCCTAAGGTTAACTTATGGGTGTTTATAGCATGGAAACACACACACACACACACACACACATATAAATACAATGCACAAATAATGTATTGCTTGTAGGATGCTCTTTGCAGTGTATAGATTAACTATGCACAGAGTTTCATATCTGTTAGTTCTTTAGAATACTCTTTACACATTTGGGAATTAGGTTTAGAAGAAAAGACTTCCAAGCACCTAGGGGCCCAGGCGATCAAAACATTTTTCCCCCCTCAGGGATATTTATTTTGTAAACGATAGTGTTCTTTTTAATTTTTCTGTAAACATGTATTTAGCAGAAATGTTAAATGTTTTCACTTACATTTGCTACCAGGATTTATGAAGTAAAATGTATAAGAAAACTTTTCTCAGATAAAGAGGAAAGAAACAAACTTATTTTTTATTTTTGGCGCCCACCTTTTCCTATAGGAAAAAAAAAATAGAAGAAATATTACCATGGCACTTGCTGCATGCCTGTAGACCAAGAAAATAATATTTGTAAATCTGTATAATTCTGATAGTGGCAGTAAATGCAAGGCCACTGTTCTAGCCTTACACCTTAAAGATATATATGTGTGTGTGTGTGTGTGTGTGTGTGTATGTATAAATCTTCTTTCATTGTCCATTATCTGTTGTTACAATATTCTGTATTATAAAAGTGAGATCCTTCTTTTAAATACACAGTCACTCAGGTTGGCAAGCTTTTTAAAGATATGTGTTAAGTGCATACTAGAAACCCTGTGATTCTCATTTTCTTATGGTTTAGAGGTCTACGGCTGTTCAACAAATGTCATGATTGCATGTTAGAGAGATCAGAGTAATTAAAGTTCAAACAAGTATGGACATGGAAATTAACAACACTGTCATCCTCACTGGACACTCAGTTTTTTCATTGTTTTGAAATAGAGCAATAAGTCCCAAAGTGACCTTACAAAATATCCAGTGCAACTCACTATTTTACAGATGAAAATGAAGCCCCACAGAGGCTGAATGTTTCTTCCAAGGAAAACTCTTGTAAGCAAGTCCTGGCGCATTTTGATGTTCTGGATATAACACGCTCCCTTTGACATGTTATCTGTTCACTCTACTTATAAGGACAAATACAAATTAAAACTAGAGGCTTAATTCTACCTTTTGAAGAGAGATTTCCCTTCCCTCCTTTGTCTCTGAGCATTTACTCTAGAATAACTGTGAGTACATTCTCCTGTCTTTGAAATGTATGTAAATCCTTGTGAAGACCAGACTGGCATTTTGCCAGCTCTATGACCTAAGAATATCTTTCTTTAGAACCTGGGTACCATGTTTGTGAAATGTAAACATCAAAGAAGATAGCACCTCTATCTGTCAATTTCTCTGGGATGGTAGAAGCCTAACATCCTTGGATCTTTTGCTCCAAGCTGCAAAACTACCTCCTATCATAAAGATATGGGAAGTTTGCTTTTACTCTGGATAAAGCCAATGAGTTATCATAGGCAGTGATGCCTATTAACAGGTGAAGTTAGAATATACCTTGTGTGACAAATGGTGCTGTCAAGTCCTCTTGATGACTAGTTATTGTTTATTTTGAAAATGTGTATGTAATGGATTGTAACTGCTTTGCTGTTTAAAAGGGTGAGAATTCTTTCTGTCTTTATTGTCTCTTAATGGATTGCCTGTAATGCATGTTACATCTGGTTTTATGCGTATTCAATAATAAAAGATGTTTTCTTTCTCTGCCACCTTAAGGGAGAGAATTTCTGGGTTGGGAGAAGATTTTGCTTTTAATTATATTTCCTCCACCCACTAAGAATAAGTCCCTTTTTTTCTTTTATTTTTTCCTCTTCCTTATTTTTATATTTTATCTCTTCCTTCATACCTTCAAAAATTGAGCATCTGTATGTGCCAGGCACTGCACAAAAGACAAGAGATAATTAACATTTGTTTGAAATTTAGCTTAACAAACATTTATATTGCACTGATTGTGAAGTAACTACTATTATAGGGACTTACTGGCACAAAACTAAGATCAGCCATTGCCCTCAAGACACTGACAGAGGCAAAAAACAATGAATAAATAATTATAATGTAATAGGGTTCATGGCACGACAGCAGTATACACAGGTCCTCTGCAGTGCAGTGTTTAGGTGCACAGATCCTGACTCCAAGCTTTCTGAAAATTTAATCCAGTGTTACCACTTAGAAGACTAATGGCTTTTGCCAAACTTATCTGCCTCAGAGTTCATATATAAATGAAATAATATTTCCTACCATGCACAGATATTGTGAGAATTAAATGACTTTATGTACATAAAGCCCTTAGAGAATGTCTCTTATAAAGTAATGCTTTTATAAGTTGGAGACATTTATAGGAGTTTGTAGGAAGAACATTAATAACCCATCCTGGATAGTGGCTTCCATGAATTCTGAGCATAGACAAGGAAGAGGTGTGTGACCATACTATGTATGTGGAGAAGCATGTGTGGCTCAGGATTTTGGCAAGTGAAATAGCAAGGCACAGAGTGGGGTCATCATGAGGACTTTCTTTGCCATATTTAAGAGGTTAATCTTCAGTATAGAGTTATGGAAGAAGTTTACAGGGAAGTACCCAGCAGGCCTGCAATTAGATACAGCGAATTTATTAGAAGACAGATTTTTGAATCATTGGAAATAGAAGGGGATGTAGGAATAAGATAAGATACAATGGTTTGACTGCTTGATGACCTTATGCCCCCAAGCTCCTAAATATAATTTTAAATGACACTAATTAATAATACAGCTTATAAATCAAATTTTTCTGATTTAAGACTTCTGCATTTTTGCATTAAAAATTATATTTTTCCTGTTTTACATGTTTAATTTTTATATATTAATGCTAAATGAAATCATCAAAGAGATAGGTTGAATTTTCTTTATCTCTTAAAACAGGTGGTAAATTTTAAAAATCAATTTTATTCTGTATAGCTAAGGCATAAAACATGAGTTATGAGATAAATATATTTAGTAAATTTGTTATTATTGTGAAACAAATGAAAATAACCATCATCTTACATAGTTACCCATTTATATCCTAGGGAGAAGTGTAGTTACAATGTACTAATTCAGCAAAAATTCTAAATACAATGCAGTATTAACTACAGTTCTAATGTTATACATTCGACTTTTAGACTTGTACATATCTGCTACTTTGTATCCTTTGACCTATATTTCTCTATGCCTACCTTCCTCTCCCTTGACCGTGGTAACCACTGTTTTACTCTGTATTTCTGTATATGAGACCTTCTTTTTTTTTAATTCCACATATAAATGAGTTTATGCAATATTTTTCTTTTTGCATCTTGCTTATTTCACTTAGCATAATGTCCTCCAGCTCCATCCATGTTGTGATAAACGGCAGGATCTTCTTCCATTTTAAGGCTGAATAATATTCCACTGTATATATGTATGACAGTTTCTTTATCCATTTGTCTGTTGATGGACACTTACGTTGTTTCAATATCTTGGCTATTGTGAATTATGCTGCAATTAACATGAGAGTGCAAATCGACTTACAAGGTGATGATTTTATTTCCTTTGGGTATATGCCCAGAAGAGAGATTGCTGTGTCATGCAGTAATTCTATTTTTAATTTGTTTAGAAAAATCCACACAATTTGCATAATGGCTATACCATTCCACATGCCCACAAACACTGTAAAAGATTCCCTTTTCTCCACACCCTTGCCAACACTTACTATCTCTTTTCTTTTTGATAATATATATCCTAACGGGTGTGAAGTTATATCTCATAATTTCCCTGATGATTAATAATGTTGAACACTTTTTCATATACTTGAAAATTTTTATGTCATCTTTGGAGAAATGTCTATTTAGCTCCTTTGTCCATCTTTTAATTGGGTTATATTTTTCTTGCTATTGAGTTGTACTATTTCCTTATAAATTTTGGATATTAACCCCTTATCAGATATACAGTTTGCAATTTTTTTCTCAGTCCCAAGGTTACTTTTTATTTTGTTGATTGTTTTGTGACTATGCAGAAGCTTTTTAGTATGATGTAGTCCCATGTCAGTATCTCCACTTTTGTAGCTTGAGCTTTTGCTGTGACATCCAGGATATCGTTGCTAAGGTCTATGTCAAGAAGCTTTTGCCCAATGTATTTTTCTAGTAGTTTTATGGTTCCAGTTCTTATGTTTAGGTATTTTTATCTATTAGGAGTTGATTTTGTATAAAGTGTAAGATATGAGTCTATTTTTAGTCTCTTTCATTCAAAAATCCAGTTTTACCAGCACCATTTATAAGACTATTCTTTGCCCATTGTGTCTTCTTGGTGTCCTTGTGAAAAATTAATTGCCCATATGTGTTTGAATCTATTTCTAGGCTTTCTATTCTGTTCCACTAATCAGTATGTTTGTTTATATGCACAGCCGATATACATGCTCAAATGTCCGTGTTCATTTCCTATTGCCCTCAAGAGTGATAGATGCAGGAAGCAGATAAGGAAGGGTCCCTGAAGAATCTCCGACCCGCCCCACAAGTGTTTATGTTTCATGTTTTTGTGCAGGTAAGGGAACTTGCCCAGGGCCTTGTCTGGGCATGCTGATTGGAGGCCCACATGCACTGGGAGAATGGGGTGGAGCCACCAGGAATTTGCGCCTTGTGCAAGGGCATGAGCCTGGCCTCTTCAGCTCCTGTGTGGTGGCCTGGTATTCAGTCTGTGATGTGGGAGCCTGTTGCCAGGACCCCTCTTCGTTTGCTGAGAGCTTTCTTTTCATACAGTAAAGCCATCCTCCTCACCCTTCAGTGTGTCCATGTGACTAACATTTGCTGGTCCTGAGACAAGAACCGAGATTTTAGCTGAACCAAGGAACAAAAACTCCTGCATCAAGAGCACTTGAATTTCTGACTGCTATTTTGTGTATTTCAACGAATTTTAGCCTGGACAAATAAATAACTATATAATTATAATTCTATTAATATGAAAAGTTACAGTGAATTCTCCTAATAATTTATAATTATTATATATTTTAAATTATGTAAATCTGCATGCTGTAATCATTACCTCTTGGCAGTTTTTGAAAATTCAGAAATGTCTTCATATCTTTGTCTTGTTCTGAAAGCGGAAGCAGGACAAATGCAAATGGTGAATTATTAACCAACAAGGAGTACAGAAAAAATGTAATAGCTTAAGGGACCAAAAATGTAGTGAGATATGGATAGGAAATAAAAATAAGAAAAGAGGACATAAGCAGTTGACGAATATTATACAAATACCGAGATACCAGAGAAGCAAATGAGTTTCTTTCAAAATGACCATGTTATCAGTAAACAAAGAAACGAGAAAAATACATTGAAAGTAGCACAAGCTACATTCTAAAAGTCAGACGCGAAGCTATGACAACTTTAGAAATGTAAACTGCTCTCTTAGTAGCCAAGGTTAGTTTCACCTTTCCTATTATTGTATTCATAAAATTTCATACAGAAGATATGGGGTTTTATAAGCAATGCTAATTTCAAACTCGTCAAACTAGAAAAAATAAAATGTTTTATGTCTAAGTTATTGTCATCTTTTATAACAGTAATTTTAGTGTTAGATTTTTATGTTTGCAAGCATTTTCCATTTTTACAGGCTCAGTATTGTAAACAATATATATCCATTCACCTTAAAACTACATTTTCTTTGCTCTTTCAATTCTTAGAAACTGCAAATGTAATATATTTAAATGACTACTAAGCATATTTTCATTAAAAATAATTTTCAAATGTAATAGAAACAATAATAAATTACTTCATATTATATGTTGTGGTAATGACTATTTTAGATCAATTGAATTCCTGATAAGCTCCCCAAACCTGTTCATTTCACAACCTTCCTCATCTTTGATAGTGACAATTATATTATTTTAAGTTGCTTAGGGCAAAAATCTTGATGTCATCCTTGATGTTTCTATGTCTTTTATACCCAATAACTAAACCATGAATTCTAACACCTATACTTTCAAAATACATCTGGAACCCAATCACTTCCCATCAGTTTTCCAGATTAATACAAGCCACTATCATTTTTTATATGCTATGGCATCAGCCGCCCATGAAGGGAAGGATTCATTAATTATTTACTACATGAAGTAATAAATTAATGAATATATGCTTCCTGGACAACTAACAGTATTCGATATATAAATATTATCATCTTATTTGTGCCAAATATTGAAAATAGTTTGCTACTTAAATGTAAGTCATCTGTAGTACAATAAAAAAGCATCATGATTTTAAATAGCAGCTACTCTGATTTAGTGGTGCTACTATAGATAATTCTGTATTGCTTTGTCACACTTCAGGTTAGTTAAAGCTGACAGCAAATTAAATAACTATTTATCACTGGTTTAATTCAAGCCGTAGGATAATTAAAAGCCTGAAAGTTCACTTTCAGTCAAGCGTGAGTAAGGAAGCAAGAAGAGGAAACTGCAAACCTACCATTTCCTGAGCTTCCTGAGAATTGTTCATATACCCCGCTTTGTAAAATAATTATTCATATACCACTTTAAAAGCAAATAAGGAGATATGGTGTCAATTGCATTCAAATAATATTAGTTCAGTTTTTTGTTTTGTTTTTTGTTTTTTTTTTGAGACGGAGTCTCGCTCTATCGCCCAGGCTGGAGTGCCGTGGCGCGATCTCGGCTCACTGCAAGCTCCGCCTCCCGGGTTCACGCCATTCTCCTGCCTCAGCCTCCGGAGTAGCTGGGACTACAGGCGCAAGCCGCCAGGCCTGGCTAATTTTTTTGTATTTTTAGTAGAGACGGGGTTTCACCGTGTTAGGCAGGAAGGCCTCGATCTCCTGACCTCGTGATCCGCCCGTCTCGGCCTCCCAAAGAGCTGGGATTACAGGCGTGAGCCACCGCGCCCGGCCAGTTCATTTTTATTTAGAAATATGAGAAAGTTTAACCATGAATAAATTGTTTCCGAATATTTTATATTGGAAACATTTTGTGAGGAATTTATATTAAATAATTTTCTTTATTAAATAATTGTTGACAGATTATCAGATTAGACAATGCTTACAAATATCATTTTAATGTTCAGAATAAATTTAAAAATGTTTGAATAAAGTGGGAAGTGTAGAGTTTCCAATTTTGCTAATATTTTTTATGATAAAATTTAGACATCAAGCAAAAATAATCAAATATTAAAACAAAAAAGGACTTCTCTGGAGATTGCCTTGGCCAAAGAATTGTGTCTTGCATATTTGAGTAAATTGAACCTATTCATAGTCTTAAATTTATGTTTCTACTATAAGCAAAATAAATTGGCTGAAATTGATTTTTTTTTGTTTCTCCCTTAATTATCCTATGCACAGTAGGTGCTCAATAGTTATTTCTTAAATACAAATACCATTAAATATTAAAAAATCACAATTTGAACCTGGTACTTTTATTTCATGTAAGTGCATACTGATTCAGAGCCATATTCCTACCTTTGAAGATATATTTGTCAACAGCACGTGTACCTTAAAATTTGCAGGTGCACTTATATGACCTTAATCGCGGAGCCTGCTGTCCTCCCTGACCTATCAAAGCTTTGAAAGTCAGAAGAGGAGCTGGACTTCTATAGCTAATCAACGGTTGGATTGCTCAGAGAGTTTTCACATTCTTCTTACTTTCCCCTGTTTGATATTTATGAATGTTTCCCTTAACTGTTCCCCATCTAGCATAAATAATGCACCCAATCCATTTCCATGTGTTATATGCAAGCTTAAAGAAACAATAATGAAGGGACATCACTAAACCATACTTTAGAAACTAATAATGCAAACTTCTTAAAAAGGCTAATTATTTAATAAAAAACACATAAGCTACAAGAAACTGTAAATAGGTTGGAATGGCATTGTCAATACAATAAAGCTTTATATTATTAAGTTCATAGACCAAGTTGTACAACATTGACATTTCAACAAACGCCTTTTAGGATGCAATCTCAAGCTGAAATGGCAAACAGAATCCACAGTAAAATATTTATTGAATTCTATTTCAAATACTTTTAAAATTTATATTACAGATTATTTTTCCCAGAAGTAATATTTTATAATTAGGAAAATGGTGAGGGGGCAATGTATAATACAAATAAGTAGAAGTTATTATTATTAATCTCTCTCTTGCTAATGCCTTAGTACAGTGACTGAAATTTAAATACCAGACAATCCTTTCTCATATCTTGGAGGTTTCTGTTAAAATAAAATTATTTAATGAAATGAAAATTAATGATATACATTTTAACCATTGGTGTTTTATCTCAATTTAGACTAATTTCTACCTTCAGCAAAATGTCTACCAAAGTCAAGTAATAGGGCCTGATCTGAAGCCGCAATGAGTCTTCAGATGTCAAATATGCCCTGAATGCTGTGAATGCAGAAGATGAAATAATTAATATCAACTGGGAGAGCCAAGGAGCAATGGGGAGGTATGTGTATAAATTACCCAAATAAACTCTAGTAAATTCTGGTTTGCCACCTGTAGAACGCTTCACAAGTCACTATGGCTCCCAAGCCATATCTTATAGTCCCTATGCCATATATCTTGTTCAATCAAATTGTTTGTCTGAGATGTCCATTAGAGACAGATTATTGAGTCCTTACTGTCATTCCAAAAAAAAAATGAGTAATAACTAATGCCAGTTCCAAAAGAGGATGTTAGAACATGATATGATAAATAAGTATTCTTCAAAAGCATTATATGCTATGCTGGCAACAATTTACAATCAGAAAATCTGTGAAAATACAGTTGGTTAAAACTTGATAATTATAGGATTATGAAATAATGAGTGCTGACAGAAAATTATTTTAACTAATTGTAATAATAATATTTAAGAAGACAGAAGTCTCCTTGTGGAAAGAACAATATAAAATACAATCTATACGGTGGCTCATGCCTGTAATCCCAGCACTTTGGGAGGCCAAGGCGGGCGGATCACGAGGTCAGGAGATCGAGACCATCCTGGCTAAAATGGCGAAACCACGTCTCTACTAAAAATACAAAAAAAAATATTAGCCGGGCATGGTGGCGGGCGCCTGTAGTCCCAGCTACTCCGGAGGCTGAGGCAGGAGAATGGCGTGAACCCAGGAGGCGGAGCTTGCAGTGAGCGGAGATCAAGCCACTGCACTCCAGCTTGGGTGACAGAGCGAGATTCCGTTCCAAAAAACAAAATAAAATAAAATAAAATAAAATAAAATAAAATAAAATAAAATAAATAAAATAAAATCCATATCACTCTTTTCGGTGGATTCCAAACTATCTAACACAACCAGTGAATAAGAAGCATAAAATTGTAGGTCTACATGAAGTGTTTTTTAATCCAACAATTAAATAACTCCCACTGTCACATACATAAAAAGAAGAGTATTCATAATGTATGCTTTTGAAAAGTAGCTTCTGATTCCCACAATAAAGATGTCTTACAAAGCTGACTTTTTGGAGTTTTTCTATTTCTGATGTGTTCCAGTAGCCAAAACAGCAGCAGGGACCTGAAATTACCATTAGTTCCAGCTATTAAATTTTAGTAAAAGAAACAAACTGCCATTTTCATTAATCATATCTCAACCTCTAATTAAAAAATAGGGGTTATCAAGAGGTAGTCATCAGTTTGTTTGAGAATTTCTATTTCTTTTACTATATAGCACCAGAGAATTGTTGGAAGTAAATTTGTGGGAAGCAAATATGTTGAGTAATACAAAGTACCACTAGTTACTAATTTTTATACAGAAAATTAGCATCCACATCCAAATCAAAACCAAATTCAGAATGGCATTCTTCTGGCTATGAGACTGAAGATGATGGGAAATTTATTTATGATATGTAAAGAGAAATATATTCTGATAAATCTTGTCAATGACTTTCTTTTCCTAAGTGCTGAAATTCCATTTAAACTGCCATGAAATTCAGCACAAATGATAATCCCAGTGTATTCACAGCTGCTTAAAGATAAGTTACCTTGCATTTGAGCAAAGCTTGGCCAAAAGATTCTCAGCATGGCAAACTGTGATTCTGATCTCTAATTCTTAGGGAAGTGCGACTGAATTTTCATATTTTTTCCAAACAAGCCTTTAACAATTTCACTTCCTGAAGCTAACCCTATTGTTATAGAATCACTTAGACTTTCAGAATTCAGTAGGAAAAAATTAATTTTTAGTTTTCCTATTTGCAATTTTTGTAGCTAAAGAACAGGGGCAATCCGAGAAAATTCAAAACTTTAAAAAATGTAATTTCAATTCAAATATCTTTGTATGTAGGGCATAAGTGAATGAAAGCATCGACTTTGGGGTTAGAGAGTCATATCTCAGAGCTCAACTTCATCTATCTGTGTAACCTTGATCAGCTTTATGAACACCCCTGTACCTTAATTTTCTCATCTTTAAAATGGGAATACTTATGCCTAACCCAATTTGGCAGGAATTTATTACCCTTATCAGGACTGAGACATTTATTACTAATGTAGTCTCTTCAATATGATTCTCTCCCACATACATCTGATTATTGATATGTTATTGTCTCCATGAATGTGACTATAACCTTAATATCAGTTCATATAACATTCCTAAGGCTCATTTTCTTTCTTACATACATTTTCTCTCTGTCTCTATAAATGCCAAATTTAATACATATTCTTTAAGAACACTAAGATATTGAGGTCAAGATTAGTTATCCTCATCAATGCACAAATGCTAACCCTTTAACTCACATCTTTATTACATACTGTCTTTTTAAAAATTTATATATTTATTTATTTTTGAGATGGAGTCTCTCTCTGTCACCCAGGCTGGAGTGCAGTGGCATTATCTCAGCTCACTGCAACCTCTGCCTTCTGGGTTCAAGCGATTCTACTGCCTCAGACTCCCAAGTAGCTGGGATTACAGCTGCCTGCCACCATGCCTGGCTAGTTTTCATATTTTTAGTAGAGATAGGGTTTCACCATGTTGGCCAGGCTGGTCTTGAACTCTTAACCTCAGGTGATCCGCCCACCTCAGCCTCCCAAAGTGTTGGGATTACAGACAAGAGCCACCATGCTCAGCCTCTATTACATACTGTCCTTAATCCTCATTTGAAATTGAAGAAGAGAGATTTCCCTTAATCTTAGAGATATATTGTGTATCATTGGGACAGTTGCTTCATTTTTTGTTATTATTGCTTTTTTGAGGTACAGTTTCATTGTCTCCCAGGCTAGAGTGGAGTGGTGCGATCACAGCTCACTGCAGCCTTGAACTCCTGGGTTCAAGAGATCCTCCCTCCTCAGCCTCTCAAATACCTAGGACTATAAGCATGTATCACCACACTTGGCTAATTTTTAAATTTTTTTGTAGTGTCAGGGTCTCACTATGTTCCTTAGTCTGGGTTTCAAAATTATGGTCACAAACGATCCTCCTGTCATAGACTCCCAAAGTGATGAGATCACTGAAATGAGCCACTGCACCAGCCTACTTCATCTTTCGTTAGTGTCAATTGTTTCATTTGGAAAAGTGTCTTGAAAACAGTTTTAAGGCCAGGGACTGTGGCTCATGCCTGTAATCCCAGCACTTTGGGATGCCGAGGAGGGCAGATCACTTGAGGTCAGGAGTTCCAGACCAGCCTGGCCAACATGGCAAAAGTTGCTACTAAAAAATGCAAAAATGAGCCTGGTGTGGTGGTGCACGCCTATGATCCCAGCTGCTCGGGAGGCTGGGGTGGGAGAATTGCTTAAACCCGGGAGGCAGAGGTTGCATCAGCCGAGATGGTGCCATTGGACTCCAGCCTGGGTGACAGAGCTAGACTCTGTCTCAAAAACAAAGTAACAACAACAACACCATTTTAATTTCCTAAGGTTATTGTGAGAACTAAATGAGATAATTCATGTAAAGTGTTTCTCATAAAATATGACAACTCTTATTGCCATTTATCAGTGACCTTCCATTGTCTAAAATTGATCATAATTAAGAACTGTTTGCTGTAGGTCTAAAATAGAAAACTGACATTTGGAATATTGTGAAGTTAATACTAGTTATGGCCACGAGAAATAAATATCCACACATGCATGTAGAGATATCCTGAAGAAAATGTTTTGTACTCTTTCAGAAATAACCATAATAGGCACACAAGAAAAATAAAGTTAACAGAAAACAATTCTGTTTGCAAATATCTGAAATTAAATGTAGGATTCTGGCGAAAAATGTGTTATTGAAAGAATATGTGAAAATTGCTTTTCTCTATATTCAAACATTGAAACTTGGAATTATTCAAATGGAGAGATTTTCTTTCAGAAAAATAAAAATACTTAAACAGGATGCTTAAATGCTTCCTTTATCATATTATATTTCTCTTCTTTAAGGTTAACAACTTTTAATATTCAATGTCAAATATCAGAAGCTATGAAGCAAATTAATATAGTCATGTACCACATACCAATGTTTCAGTTAATGATGGACAGCATATATCACAGTGAACCGGTAGGATTACAATGGAGATAAAAAATTCCTGGCCAGGTGCGGTGGCTCACGCCTGTAATCCCAGCACTTTGGGAGGCGGGTGGATCACAAGGTGAGGAGATGGAGACCATCCTGGCTAACACGGTAAAACTCCCTCTCTACTAAAAATACAAAAAAAAAAAAAAAATTAGCCGGGCATGGTGGCGGGCACCTGTAGTCTCAGCTACTCGGGAGGCTGAGGCGGAGAATGGCCTGAACCCTGGAGGTGGAGCTTGCAGTAAGCCGATATCGTGCCACTGCACTCCAGCCTGGGCGACAGAGTGAGACTCTGTCTCACTCTAAAAAAAAAAAATTCCTGTCCCCTAGTAATGTCCTGATGATCTTGACCTTGTATAGGCTTTGGCTAAAGTGTGTGTTTGTGTCTTAGTTTTTAACAAAAAATTTTAAAAAGCAAAAAAAAAAAAGAAATACAAATAGGAAAAGCCTTATATAAAGATATAAAGAAAGAAAACATTTTTGTCCAGCTGTACGATGTGTTTGTGTTTTAAGCTCTGTTATTAAAATAGAGTGAAAAAGTTAGAAATATTTTTAAAAATTATAAAGTACCAAAGTTATAGTAAGGTAAGGTTAATTTATTACTAAAGAATTTTTAAAACTAGATTTAGTGTAGCCAGTGTACAGTGTTTATGAAATATAAAGTTAGTGCTCAGTAATATCTTAGGCCTTCATAGTCACTCACTACCACTCACTAACTCACTCAGAGCAACTTCTAGTCCTGAATGCTTTATTTATGGTGTTTTATACAAGTATATATTTTTTCACCTTTTATATCATATTCATACTGTGACTTTTGTATGTTTAGATACACAAATATCATTGTGTTACTGTAACGGGATCCTTGGGTTGTCACTTCAACAGCTGAAAACCTCTGTGGCCAGTGGCACTTTTGCCTGAGTTTTGCTTGGGTCTGCTGGGCCCACTCAGTCTGGCAACCTGCGCTCAGCTCATGCCACCAGCCTGAATCCCATGCCTGGCAATGGTGAGTGTAGCAGCAAAGGATGTGTGAGCGAATGAGCATGGGGTCTCACCACTGTGCACAACCAGGCATGCTGGTTGTGGCAGGACGGGCAGCTCCAGGTGCTGGCACGGGCGTTGACTCCCTGTGAGGCTGTGGCTGGACCAGGCGTCCTGCAAGCAGCTTTGACAGCTGGCACTGGGGAACATCATGGCGCCAGGAAGCTTAGCCAATATACATTTAATATTTGAGCAATATATGTTTAATATTTGAACATTTAAGCATACATTTACTATTGAGCATCTGTCAATACTTAGCCAACATACAGTTAATATTTGAGCTTTTCATTGTATGTAAAGTTTACATAAAGAGATAAATACTATGAATTAGCTTTGAAGATCAGTAAATGATACATATGCTGAAGTTTTTATGGAAACTCACTTGCCCCCATATTTTACTTTGAATTGCAAGAAAAAATATTAGAAAAATTTGTGGTGCATTTGAGAATGAATAGATTGATAGATTTTTTTTTTTTTTTTTTGAGATGGAATCTCGCTTTGTCACCCAGGCTGGAGTGCAATAGCATGATCTTAGCTCACTGCAACCTCTGCCTCCCAGGTTCAAACAATTCTTCTGCCTTAGCATCCCGAGTAGCTGGGATTACAAGCATGCGCCACCACACCTGGCTAAATTTTTTTTTGTTTTTGTTTTTTGTAGAGATGTATGTTGCCCAGTCTGGTCTTGAACTCCTGAGCTCAGGCGATCCACACTCCTCAGCCTCCCACAGTGCTGGGATTACAAGCGTGAGCCACTGTGCCTGGCCAATAGTTTAAATATAATCATTTCTGTAAGATTTGTCCACTGGATCTAATGCTATTTCATTAATGACCATCATCTAAGTATTCTTTTAATCAGTCATTCAGATGCAGTATAAGTAGTATGATAATATACCCTTATTCTACCAGGACTGTCTTAGATATCTATGCCTGTTGTTCTGAAATAAATATATAATTAATTATTCACACTTAATACTCTAAAAAAATTCCCAGGTGAAAATATAAACTACATTGTCACCCTAAGTATAATTTAAAATTGCTACTTTGCCTCCCTATCAAAATTGACATAACTTTCCCTGGATGAGTAAAACAGCTTAGTGATCTAGCCATTTCAGAAGGCATAAGGTTGAAATTTATTGCCCATTTGGACTTGTTTTTCTGAGACAAACTATACACAGAACTCCCCAGCAGCAGTGTCTCTTATTGGCATACTAAGTTTTCACCAGTAGCAGCAGTCTATGAGTGCATCCTTCTCTAAATTCTTTGATATAGGGGTATATGGCATATTCATTCCATCCATGCCTGTAATATCATCAGAAAGGGAATGTTCATTAGCAAAACAAAATTATGATCACATACATATCTACTCGCCAAAATTACATTTGCACCACAAATTACATGTGGACCCTGTGCTTAATTCAATTCTATTGTTACAGTAGAATTTGCCATATAGTTTTCTTTTCGGCTAGAATATTTTTCTTCTCAAGATAGCTCCATTTTTTGTCATTTAAAGAATAGTTTAAACTTTAAAAATACAGCCATTATGTTTATATTAAGAAGTGAGAGTGTCTGATGGGAAAACTGGGACAAATTAAGTTATTCCAACAAGAAAGGGCAGTGTTATGGAGGTGCTGAAACTGGAAAGGTTCAGGTCTTATTCCTAAAGATAGCGTGGAGTATATGAAAGATAACAGTATAAGAATATAACAGGCAAGTGTTTGGTCAAAAGGATCCAACTGGAGGTAGTGATTAATCTCAACAATCAAAGCTCACAGATTTCAAAGTCCAACCTGTGGCATCACAAAAATCTAAAATCAGATGGATGATTTCTTACCATAGAAATAGTAGAAGAAAGACCTAGAATCTAGGAAAAGGAGAATCAGTGGAGTGAATGTATTGTCGAGTCCCTTAAAACAAATAGGGATCACTTATGGGGCAACTAATTGGCTAGCTAATTGGGGGCATAATCTTGATGATAAGATTAATACCTCATTTCAGCACCAAAGCTTTCTTCACCTTTGCAATCCTGACTCTTCATAATAAGATAGAAGCCTAGTTGTCAGCGGTGAACCTTCTTAAAACATGGCTTTCATCATGCAACAGTTTTTCTTCTAAAGGCATAAACACAGAAATGAACAAATAAAGCTTTAAAAGCCTTTTAGCTACTAATTCACCAGCCTAAACTTGTCGCTTGGTTTTTAGACAAAAATACTCCCTAACCTCATCGTCTTCATTTTACCCTGATTTCTAATGTGTTCATTCATGAGGGTCTCCACACTGCCCCATAAACTGCCATTCAATGACCATCACATCATTATCAAGAATGCTTTTCTCTCCATTGTTATCTCTATCATATACCATTTAAATCTCACCTCTGTCTCATTTATTCCCATGAAAATATAAATGCTGTAATCTTTGTTGATCCCTATCCTTCTAAACTCACACAGAATATATAAATAAATATTAAACAAAGTATATCAGAATATTTTGTATTTTTTATTAAAAGTGTTTTATACTTCATGCTTTTAGTTTTGCCCTTCCTCTGGAAGCATAAAGTTCTTGGAACACAGGATTCATATCTTGTTTTGTTACTTATATATATTTGTATTATCTGTCAATGTTCTGAGAACACACTGTGTGTTGCTACAAAAGATCATGCTGACTTTCTCAAGCAGTTTGTAATCTTATTTTATGGATATATGGCGGGCCCTGGAAAGCTAAGCTTTTAGGGTCAGAGGTAGCACTGATGACTAGCATAGTTCAAAAAAATTTTTATTAAGATATACCTGATTTAATATGCTTCTCCAAACCATATGTTTTCCTTCCATATTTCTGGGTATAAACCCCAAGCAAAGCCAGCTGAACCTGCTTATGTCTCATTTAGCCAAAACCGATCACATCACTTCACCTTAGTCTCTCACATCACCTTCGTTGAATAGTCTTGTTATAAGCCATCTCTGGTTTTATGAGTTGGGCATCTCTAGACTGGTAGTTTTCGATAGAATGTGTAGGTTCTGTGCAACGTAAAGTTATAGAATCAAGTTAACTACTTGATTAAGTAGTTAACAAAAAGTTTTTGGTCTAGTTTTATTCTTGAAGGGCAATAGGATTTTTCCTTTCATGCACTAAAAATCATAACAAAATCCACATTTTCTTCTCTTACTCTCTTATCATCCTACCTATAATTGACAAGAACTACATTATTCTAATTTAATCCCTGCAAATGTTTGTCAACTAACTTCTGGGCCCCTCACACTCACATTATATTTAAAGCATGTAGCAAGATTGTATTTATTGTATTTGGAAATTTCCTCTCCTTCTTCCCATGTACTTCTTTACAAAGATACATGTACATACACACTTCTCAAACATAGCATTTGAACTCAGTTAATCATACCAAAAAGTGTGGGATTTAGGATAAACTAAATATAGTCCCTTTTGTGATAAAATGCAGTATTAGAAGAACCCAAACCAAGGGTTTGTTAGTTTATGGTCATTGCATATCATTACTTCCTAGAATAACTTAACTTGGAGTCCAAAAGAGATAATATTTGCTGAAATTTTTTCAGTTGAGACTTAACGAATTTTAGTTCAATGTTCATAAGTCTAAATATACTCTAAACGCTTAGTGTTATAAAGTTGTCTGGTCTAGAAAATGTTTGACAATATGCCTGTTTTCTCCATCCCTACACGACAAACATTTACCTGTTTATTTTGTGCAGAATAATGTAAGTTTAACCTAATTATAGGACTTGCACAGACAAGCAGGAATTTTAGGAACTGCTATGAATAATTCTAAAATAATCATTTTACCATGATTCTGAAAAATCAAATAATATACTTTATCAATTTTGCAATCCAAATGTTTTCACACTTCATCAGAAACATGAATGTGTCCTATATTTTACAGCTTGTTTGGTTTTAATTGATGACGTTGGTGTTTGTTCCCTTTATTTTTAACACTATGTACAATAATGATATTAATCAGAACCAATGGCAACTTAAATTTGAGAATGATACATTATAAAAATCGGAAAGAAAGATTACTAATATATGTAATACATGGTCTTCATGTAGTAAATATTTCATAAGTAATGCCAATATATTTTGGCAAAAGGAGAAATAATTATCATAAGCAGGAATGGCTTGGAAATGTTTTTGATATCTGCTGCTGAAAATAATCACCAGAAATAGTAAAACAAAATAGTTTTTTTAAAAATCAGTAAACCAAGAAAATAGGATATAATGTAGTGTATAAACAACTCTGGGATACTTGTATACAAGATGCGTTATATAGAATAGATGAAAGCTATTACCTTCATTACCTTCTCTATGAATACACAGATGATGTGATGTTTCAGAACCATTAATCTATCACCTCTAATGGGCATTAAATCCCAGTTTGGCTAACAAACATCTATGTTACAACCATCGAAAATTAATACACCATGGACTGTTTATCCTCTCAATGGCATATCATAAGTGAGAAAAGCTTTTGGCATATTTTTCATCTTTGGAGACTGTTCTCTTGAAATTTCTCGCATGAATCAGAATTGTAGCCCATTTAGCCTAGAAGCTTGAAATAAGTGGCAGTATATAACATCCTTCTTTGTCATTTTTGTAGTTATAGTTTCCATCTCTGTGTTTATAATAAATGAGTTAGATTTGTTAAGTAAGTTGGTGATCAGATTGGGAATTTGTGTCTCCTAGCACTTACATTCTATTTCATATAAAATTTTCAGTAAAAAACACTGAAGTAAAAAAAAAAATCCATACATCATGATTGTTTTTTTTTTTTTTTTTCTTTTTTTTTGAGACAGAGTCTCGCTCTGTCGCCCAGGCTGGAGTGCAGTGGCGGGATCTCGGCTCACTGCAAGCTCCGCCTCCCGGGTTCACGCCATTCTCCTGCCTCAGCCTCCCAAGTAGCTGGGACTACAGGCGCCCACCACTACGCCCGGCTAATTTTTTGTATTTTTAGTAGAGACGGGGTTTCACCGTTTTAGCCGGGATGGTCTCGATCTCCTGACCTCGTGATCCGCCCGCCTCGGCCTCCCAAAGTGCTGGGATTACAGGCGTGAGCCACCGCGCCCGGCCATCATGATTGTTAATGAACTTGTGAACATGCCTTTAAAAACAGGAATTTTAGTGGTGTCAAGTCATGGCTATGTGCCACTAACATGCCAGATTTGGACATGTCACAGATGATAGCAAATGGTTTCTCACTTTTATATTATATTATTTAAAATAAATAATGACACAAAACTTACTCTTCTGTGATGGCAAACGTGAACAGGGTGCTTAGTATATGCCAGGTGCTATTTCAAACACTTAACAATTATTTAATCTTCAAATAATTATGTGAAGTACATAAAACAAAGGGCACTAATCCCCACCCAGCTTGGTTTACATAAAAGAAAATAAATCGCAGAAAAATTCAGTAACTTTCCCAAGGTATCACAGCATACGAGTGAAGGATTCAGACTTTCAGATCCTGAATCTGTATTTTCACTGAATATTCTCTATGTTCTTACTAGGTATAGTAATGTACTCTTTCTAGAGGGTTTCTTAGGTAAAACTCCAAATTATGAAGATATCCATTAATTATTGGCAAGGTATAAATATACCAAGCCTATTTAACATATAAAATGACATATGTTACTATCCAGAGCCGGTTAGTTATAGAACTGCTTTCTTTAAAATATTGTTTTCAAAATATATGCTCTTAGAGCATCTTTTTTGTACATAGATTTTGCAATTCTGTGACTGCTGATTTAAAGTCTCAGCAAGTGAAAATGCAACGCATTACTAGATATTCTCAGGCAGCAGACCTCTAAGCATATGCTACAGCTCACTCAGCTCACACATCATTCTGTGTGAAATACGTATATTTGGTATTATGTGGTGTACTCTGGCCACTCCTCTTGCTATTAATGTTATGTTCTGAGAATATTTATAATCTATTATAACTGACAGATAATGCCCAACTGATATTAAAGACTTGGTGATAAAATGCAAAATTTAGTAGCATAAAGCAGCTTTGGGGATGGGAAAAATATCCTTATTTCAAATGCAAATATTTTCATTATTTGAAAATAATGAAAAAGTATTTTTCTTTAAAATATTTTATTTCTAATAAGCTTATACTCAATAATAACATAAGTCTGAAGCAACCTAATGGGTCCAATTAGGATCCAATTTGTAATTAAACTGGTTCCAAAAGTTTGAAGAAAAGTTGGAAGGTCTGCATTTTTGGAAGAGAGACACAATGGAAATAATATGTCAGTGAAATGGAATAGAGTGTGAAAATGAAAATGTCCCCTTTTATGGGAAACTGTGATGATAGAAATAAATTGTAAGACTCTTGACTTCAAGTCCATGAAGTGACATTATATATTCGTGTTCATAAACTCAGTGTGTGTTACACTGTGGGCATTTTCATGTTGTGAATTATTTGTGTTAAAATTAATTTCAAGTCACACATTTATTCTGCCATAATTCACTTTGGTAATAGTAATTTCTTATCCCTCATTCTTTTGCACTGTTACCCATTTGCCCATTTTCGGAACTACTAAATTATCTGTTCTTTTATGTATGATGTCTAAACCTGCCTTTACTATTTATCCATATTAATACAATTTGTGAAGCTTCATTAAGTGTTAATATTTTGAGGTTAAATGAAAACACTTTGAGTAGCATACTCTTAAATGCTATAAAAGAAGTAGGTAAGAGCACCAAGACCAGGACTGAAGGAATACATGGAAAGGAATAAGAATATTTTTGTCTATATCTTCAAAATAAGTGTTATGAATTATTTGATTTCTCCATCCTTGGTACCAACCTGTTTTCCTTCTTTACCTTTTGGCTTTTATGTGATTTACAGATTATGATAAGACAGGTATTTCTCAATGGAGTTACAACTATATTACATATCATTGTAAACGCATAATTCTATTATTACCAATAATAGTCATACTTTGAAGCAGAAGTATGGTACCATATTCAAGAAAGGCATATTTGATGTTTGGTGTTTAATACTGTCTTAATGCTGCTCTATCACCATAATCTGATATTGTGCAATGCAACTGGAAAAAATACTGTCAGGCAGATAAGAAAATATGATATATTTTTAAGTGATGACATAGTTCATCACTTTTGCTGTACGTGGAAGGAAAGAATCCTATTTCTTACTAGAATATAAAGGATATCAATTACAAAGTCATCTTGGAGGACATTTCTATGAATCTTTAATGTAGCTACTACAAAAACTCAAAATATTTGATTACATAAAAATGAATATATTTAAGTGCCTAAACTCACAATTCAGATTTCCAAGTAAAATGTAGGATGTCATTTAAAAACATATATTTCTTTTTTAAAAAAATCTGAAAGGAAAAAAATAGTCCACTTATGTCTCTATAGAATTAAAATACATGTAGAGTCAGACTAGCTCAATTTGTATCCTGACTCTGTCATCAAGTTTCTATATGACAAAGCAAATCCCTTAACGTGGCATATATGAAGCAATCATATGATTTTGTGTTAATATTGTAAACATAAATAATATTATGACTACTGATATAATTTGTTTTATTTTTCAGTTGTGAAAATATTTTGTCATATAAATAACATGAAAATTCTAAACAAGACAGTGATGCTAACGATTAATTGTCAGAGTCTTTTTAAGATAAGAGTATCAGTTTGGGAATATAAAGGTGAGTACTGGAAAGATTAATTGAAGGTTTTTAATATTTATAAGTAACATTTTATGCCCTTCAAGGATATATACGTATGCAGGAGAATATATTAAGCATATAAAAGTGGCAGAGATCTATAACTCTATGCATTTCATGGGTATATACGTATGTAGTTCAATAGATTATAGTGTCCGGAGACTAGAAAAGGAGAAAAATGAGTGTGGAGTATTGGATGCATTAATTATTATTTTATACCATTAGTGGAGACCACAAACTTTTTTCTTTGATCTTGAAAATATATGTACAGAGAGATATCGTCTAGGACTGTGTTTTTTCCAGAGTATAAGAATTAAGCCTATTATTATGTTTTTGATAATATAGAAGATTTTAGAAGGTAATTTGATGATTGTAAATTGCAATGATTGATACATTTTCTCAAAGATAATTGCTTCTTACATATTTTTAAGGTGATATAAAATAAATTTATAATAATTTTTGATATCAGTCATTGTGGGATTAGACTTAGTAGTTGGGATTAGACTTATTCTTCTGCTGTAAAGAAATGAAAAATTGTGCAAAATATTGGAAAGAAGTGTTTTCAGCACAGAGAGGTGATTCTTGAGAACAAGGAAGCTCATAAGCCAAGCTTCAGTTTCCCAGCATTTAGCTTGACAAAATTTCCATAATTCTGTGTATAAATGGGGCCCAAATAGAGATTGGCAGTCTCATTTGGTACAGAAAAATAAGTTTAACTTTAGAATTATGTAGAAGGTCGAAACTTGCAGAGGCAGGTCTTAGAATCTCGATTACTGAGTGTAAAAAAAAAAATGGTGAAGTACCGACTAATCCAGAGTACCGAAATTTTATTGAATATCCTGGATATAAAGGTAACACCCAAATTCAGACTCCAAAAACTTCATGTCTTAGGAGTAATGACGCCAACTCAGACTAAATCAAAGCATTTACTGAAGCAAGGTGGAGCCTGGGCCGCATAGCAAGACCCTGTCTCTACAAAAAAATAAAAATAAAAAATTATTTTATTTTTTATGTTGGCTTACACTTGTAGTCCTAGCTACTCAGGAGTCTGAGATGGGAGAATCACTTAAGTCCAGGAGTTTGAGGTTGCAGTGAACTATGATTGTGCCACTGCACTCCAGCCTGGAGAAGCAAGGAAGGAAGGTGATCTGGTAATTTAACTGTCTAAACAGAATTTAAGACTCTTTAAAAGAATATAAAATTTTGGGAGGCCAAGGCAGGCGGATCACCTGAGGTCAGGAGTTCTAGATCAGCCTGTCCAACATGGTGAAGCCCCATTTCTACTAAAAATATAAAAATTAGCTGAATGTGGTAGTGTGCACCTGTAATCCCAGCTACTCGGAAGGCTAAGGTAGAAGATTTGTTTGAACCCAGGAGGCAAATGTTGCAGTGAGCCGAGATCACGCCACTGCACTCCAGCTTGGGAGACAGAGAGAAGCCCTGTGAAAAAAAAAAAAGAAAAAAGATAAAATAATCTAGAGTCTCTACACAATTTAGTATAATTTAAAAAATAATCCAATTAACATGTGAAGAAGCAGGAAAGTGAAAAATGTAGCAATAGAAAAAAACTCAATTGAATCAGAACAACATATAACAAAAGTAATGGATTTAGAAATGAGGTCTTATAAGTATAAGAAAGCATAAGATCAGTAGAATACATGTATAGGTAAATATAGGGAGAGAATAAGAAACTTGATAAGTGAACTAACACACATATACATATATAAAATATAAAATGTGAATGAATGCACACATATATGTTGCATAATTCCTTGGAGGAATTCAAGTCAACAAACTTTTCGAGACATATGGGACAAATTTAAGATTTTAATATATCACATTTTTTGTCACAGGAAAATAAGTCAAAAATAACAAGCAGCATAATCATTTGAAGAAACAAAGACTAATATTTTCCCAATTTTTCCAAATCTGATGAATAACAGAAACTCAAAGATCCAAGAACCTTAGCAAATCACTGACAGACTATTTACAAGGAAGATGAAATATAACACATCATAATAACATTTTAGCAAGCTAAAGATGAAAATAAAGTGATAAAATCTAGAAGACAAAGAAATGCCACCTTTAAAGTACTAAACAAAAAAGCCCTATCAATGTATATTTCTATATCCAGCCTAAAATTTCATCAAAAAATAAGGTGAAAAATGACTGTCCTAGACAACTTAAAGTTGAGATAGTTTGTCTTCAGCCCTAAAAACTTAAAGTATAATAAAAAATATATATATAAAAAGAAACATTAAAGGAAGTTTTCAGGTTGAATAAATAATATTCCAATGGGAATTTGACACTTAAAAATAAAGAAAGAACACTAAATGTAATAAACATATTGTTAAGTATTCAAGATTATTATTAGGTATTCATTTATATAGTCATTTTATCTTTAAGTCAAAAAGGACATAATTTATGGTGAGGTTCATAACACACATATGAGTAAAGCAAATGACCACGTTAACACAGTGAGATGGTGGCAGATAAGTGGTATATGCTAAGTTAAGTTTCTTCATACATCTGGTGATGAAATATCAATTTAATATATAATTTAATAACATTCTAAACCCTAGATCAATCACTAAAATAAAAATCCAATAAAAAATAAAATTAAATTCTAAAATATGCTCAAATAACCCAAATGAAGGCCAAAAAAGTAAAAAAAAATAAGAGGGAACAAGTGAAGAAAAAATAAAACAAGTATCAAGATAGCAAAGTTAAACCCAACCATATTAAGTATCTTAGGCAAATAGTCTAAACACTCAGTTTAACAGAAATTTTTTTCAGACGTGTTTTTTCAAACAAATCAACAACTTTCCAGTTATAGGCTAACTCTAAGCAATGTTTTAGATATAAAGACCCAGTTTTAAAATAAAAAGATTTTGAAGCATGCAAATTGTAATCATAAAAAAGTAATAATGTTTTGTTAACATTATCAAAGTAAACGTAAAGACATGGATTATTCCTGCCACTAAAGACAGCATTTTTTATGATGATAAAAATATAAATAAATCAGAAAGACATAAGCTCATAAATGTATGAAACCTCATAGTATAGCTTTAAAATACACAACTGAAAAATAATTGAAATATCTAATAAAAATATATAGAACTTCACAATCATATTTAAAGATTTTAGACACTTCTGTTAGATCTTGAAAGATTAGATACACAAAACAAAATAAAATGAAACTTAGTAGGGATATGGAAGATTGAAATAGCTCTTTTAATGAACTGGACCAAAATGATTACTTACAAACACTATACAAAAATGCAGAATCCACATTCTTCTCAAATACACATGGAATATTTACCAAATTGGATCACATTCTGTTTCATTCAACAGTTGTTAATAAATTGCAAATGGCAAAAATCACAGCGTGTATTTTGGACCATAAAATACTGAATTATAAATAAATGAAAACATATATAGAAAATGGCCAAATATTTGGAAATTAATCAGCATGCCTGCTAATAAATCATGGAATGCAAGAGAAATAACAATCATACTAGGAAATACTTTAACAAAACCATAATACAGACAAACTTGCAGAATTTGATAATGTTAAAACATGTTAAAAAATTAACTCACTAAGCTTTTAGCACTAAAGCGTAAAGAAGAAAGGAAACATTAAAGCTAATAACATGAAAGAAAGAGATATATAAAACAATAATAATAGAGACAGACATTAGAAGTCAACTAATTTAAATTATATTTATTTAAAAGGATTCCTTAAATATATAAATGTATACATTACTGCTTAAAAAACCTCAGATTTTTAGCACTAGAAATGAAACACAATCTTGTAAGAGAACTATTTACAGTATAAGGGTTTTAAAGACATATATAGAGCAACTTTATGTTGATAACTTGAACAACTTCATGTATATAGACAAATTCCTTGATATCAAAAATTACAAAAACTGCTCTAAAAGAAAAGATAAATATGAATAATACTGTATTAAATAATGCAGTTAAATTTATAATCTAAAATCTTACCACAATGAGTGTTTCAATAGTAAAGCAGTCACTGGTGAGTTCCACAATATATTTAAGAAAGAAGCAGTACCAATTTTCAATACTTTTTCATAGAATAAAGGGAAAGAGAATATATTCAACCAATTTGATGAAGCCAATATAAACTGGTAATCAAACATTGATAAGGCCATTATGACAAGACTACAGAGCAGCAACACTCATAAACATAGTTGCAAACATCCTTCAAGAAATACTAGTCAATTATATCTGGCATTAATAATAAAAGGTAATCCATCATGATTATGTGGGATTTATTCCAGAAATACAAGGATTGCTTAACATTGAAACATCAAGAAATAGATAATTCATCTTATTATAAAACTTAAAATATTTATTTGATCACTTAAGTAGATATAGAGAAAGCATTTGATGTTATTCAACAATTATTCATGGCAAAATTCTCAACAAACGATCAACACAAAGAAACTCTCAATATGAAAAATTGTATTCATGAAAAACTCATAGCTACTATCACATTTAAGAGTGAAATATCGAGTTTAATCCCCTAAAATTAGGGGCAAGGGCAAAGTTACCTACTCTTACCACTTCTAATCAATATTGTACTGAAGATCCTACTCAGTACAATAATATAAGAAAAAGTATTTGAGATATAAGAATTAAGGAAAAAGAAGTAAAATTATACTTATTTTCAAATACTATACTTAGAAAATCCAAAGGAATATAAAAAAAAAACCTGCTAGAACTAGCACCTAAATCCAGGGATGTCATGGAAAACAAGATAAATTCACCAAAATCAATTATATATGTACATGTCAGGAACATACATACTGAAAAATGAATTAAGAAAAAATACAATTTACAATAATGTAAACAAGCATCACACAGCTAAGAATGAATTTAATTACACACATGTGTGACCACTACATTCAAAATTACAAAACATTCTGAAAAAATTAAGACCTTAAAATAGAAATGTACAATGTTAATGTTTGCAAAATATTATTATATAACATTTTCTCTGGGAACTGATCTATTGTTTTGATGCAATTCCCAGTCCAAATACCCACAGGGCTTTTTCCTTTGCGCAAATCAACGAATAGGTTGATTGTAATATTCTTTTGGGGGTAACATAATTATGTACAGAGCAACTCCAAAACATAATCAGGTACATTATTAGAATTAGAAAATATGCTTATAAAAGTGCTGGGGACAAAGTAAATGTATAAAAATCAATTGTATAGCATAAAAATATCTAGTGATAAATATAGAAATAGGTGAAAAAGTTACCTACTTTTGAGTCAGAATTTTCTGACTCAAGAAAGAAAAACCAAAATTGAATAAAGCAGTTAAGGGAAAACAATGTACAAGACAATTCTGAAAACTTGGCTATATTACTCTATTAGATACTAAAAGTTAGCAAGAAACTGTACTAAATAAGACTACATATTTCTTATAGGAATAATTAATCAAATAGGAAAGAACAGCAAGGAACAGACCCTCATATATAAATAGAAGTTGTAACACAAAAGTGCTACTGCATAGTATTATAGAAAGAAGAGTCTTCAATAAATGGCTCTGGTAATTTTGCACTCAAAACAAATACATTTGATTTATTTCTCTCACCACATGCATATACAAAAAATATTTATAGAGAGAAGTATATCCAAATGTGAGAAACAAGACTATGCAGCTTCTAGAAACTAGCAAAGAAAACTATTTTCTGATATTGAAATAAACAATAATTTATTATTAAACAAAGCAAAAATGGATGTAGTATAATGAACACACCAACACACTTGCTTTTATTTCAATATTCATCAAAAGTCACTTTCGAGAGAGTAAAAGTGTATGACCTACATTGAAAGAAAATATTTTCATTATCTTCCCCTAAAAAAGCAAAGGGCTAATTTTAAAAACCTTCTTACACATCACTAATTAAAATACAGACAACAAAATTATTTGAACAAAACTTTATAAAAATAATATGCAATACCAAATATATTTATGAAGAGTTTCAATACCACCAGTCTTCAGGAAAATGCAAATTAAATCTGCGATAACATAATATCATATATCCAATGACAATAACATGTTGGTGAGAATATGGAGCAATGAGAACTTCTAGTTGTTACTGGGAATATAAATTCATAAAACTACTTTATAAAACTGGTTAGTATAATCTTGTAACATTCAACATAAACATATTATGAAATCCAATATTTTAATATCTAGGTTTATGTTACCAACAAAATGAGTGTGCCTTTGCACCAAAAAGTATATATTTTCACAGCAGCATAATTTGTAATGGCCTTAAGTTTGAAAGACCTTAAACTTCTATTAGCATTACATTTACACGATGCCATACAGCAATAAAGAAAAGGTATTTATTACAGGTATACAAAAACATTAATTGAATCTCAAAAACATAAAATTGAGCCAGAGACCCACACTTCAAAGAAAAGAAATAAAAACACAAACAGTGAGATTCCATTTTAATACATTTCAAAATATGGGCAAAACTTAAATAGTTCAACATCTAAATGACAGTTAACTTTAGGAAGGAGAGATTGGTTTTTAATTTCATCAGTGATTTCATTGATTTGTTTCATCACCTGAGTAGCAGTTTCATGAGAGTATTTATTTTGTTAAAAATCATTAAAATTCATGGTGAAAGTTAGTCCATTTTCTCAATGTGGCTTAAAATTCCATTACAAAGAAAAATAAATTAATTTTATTTTAATAAGTTGGTGTTATTTATTGTTTCTTGTTAAATCTTAGTTCTTGCAGAAAAATTTGATCATCTAATATTTATTGAGTAACTATTGCAGTGGTGTAAGAGGACAGAGGCAATGAGAGAGATCTGTCCTGGCTGTTAAGAACATTTTTGTTCTAAAATTTTCTACAAAAAAGCAAGCTTCATGTGTTCTCACTTATTGGTGGTAGCTAAAAGTTAGAACAATTGAACTCATGGAGATAGAGAGTAGAAGGATGGTTACTAGAGCCTGGGAAGAATAAGGGGAGGTGTGGGAGGAAAATGGGTCAGTTAATAGGTACAAAAAGTAATTAGAAAGAATGAATATGACCTAGCATTTGGTAGCATAACAGGGTGACTGCAGCCAATCATAATTTAATTATACATTTTAAAATAAAAGTCTATAATTGGATTGTAACACAAAGGATAGATGCTTAAAGGGATAGATACTCAGTTTACCATGATGTTACTATTACACATTGCATGCATGTATCAAAATATCTCATGTACCCTACACATACATACACCTATTATGATACCCACAAAAATTGAAAATTAAAAATTAGTAAAAAGGCTACTGGGAGAATTAGAAAAATAATCAATCAATCAATCAATCAAATTTTTGACAGATCATTTCATCTTGGCTCCATTTTCACCACTAGGAAACAATATACTCATTGCACACCTATGTATTTCACATTTATCAACACATTTGGCTCACAAAAATTGTTGCCTATAATATTAAGACACATACAATACACCAGAGTTACAAAGCATCCCCAGGATCTGAGTAAGCACTATTTGATTTCAAATGATCATTTCTTGCTCTACCTTTTGTTATCAAAGAATATTTGCATTATTTCCACTTTCATGTTCATTTAAATTTAAAATTTCAAACACATTATTTTCGTTCTCCTCCCTCAGTTCACTTTACAAACATTTTATAGGCATTTACTCTTCGCCAGATTTTGTCTAGTTATAGGAAATGAAAACATAAAAAGGATATTATTGTTTGGAAGAGAAGCTTATAGTCTAATAAAAGTGGCATAGTAGAAAAGAAAGTGACAACAATTGGTCATTTAAGTTTAATACATATAAATGTTAATTTTTATAGTCAGTTGAATTTACTTTTTAAATGATTTCTTCTTCATTATTATTCTCTCTACTTTCCACTCTTTCTTCCTGTCCACTCTCCGAAAGGCTAAATTCACTTAAATGTGAATTATTCCTCTTAAAGTGTATTTCTGATTATGCTTTTCGCTCTTTTATTTTTATTTTTTCCTCCTCAAGGACCTTCAGGTTATCCCTTCTCTTGGCGAATATAGGCTGAACAGTGCAGTTTGGCATGCTTGGCATTGAAGTTCATCAAATTATTTTTTCAGCAAAATCTTTCAGCACTTATACAATATATACTGAATCAAATATTAGCTCTTTGTTAGTCCAGCATATTCAGCTTTCTTGTTTTTTCTGTTAAACCATACTATTAGTACCAGGCACTAAATCACTATTAATTATTGTAGTTCTCAAATATTTGTCAGGCCCCTTTTTCATACTGGATGCTTAATAAATGATTTCACGAAAATAATGTACTGTGTAATTACAAACAGTTCATCAGGAAAATAGGGCAGAAGTGCAAAAATAAGACTATAACTTTCTTGCAAAATATGTAATAATTTTTCAATTAAACTTCTAAATGTCTTATGGTAATAGGTACAATACACTTTTACGTTAGACAGACACTACAGCAACTATGGGAATCTCAACTTTGAAATAGTATGGGACACTTCAAATTAAATATTTCTCATATGTACTAGAGATATTAGCTTTCTTTTTTTTTGTGAAAACTGGATATACATCAGATGTAATTGATGTGAAATAGAGATGTGGATAGACGGGATGATTCTTCAGAAAAATATCAAAGTCAGTGCTATCCTTTGCAAAGTCATCCTGAGCATGCATTTTTCTCTGAATCTTTAATTGGAGAAATGGGCTATAAAACAGAATGAATTAGCAGCACCAATTAAGTCCCCTTTTTTCTTTTAGAAGTGTGTTGTTGTCATAAAAGTGGTGACTAAGAAAGTAAATTCCGTTACTGAAGAATGCCCACCAAGAATAAAGAATTGGATGCAAAGCAGTAAGAGTTCATTTGTTTTTGTAATTCTGTTATTATTAACCTATTATTTTTTCTTCTGAGCCCAAGCTTGATACTGTATCTGAAGCACTGGGATGGTTTAGTAATTTAAAATGTAAAACTTAATAGAATAATACTTTGCTGCAACCTTTAATTATATTTTTACATTGAGACTTGGTCGATATTTGTGTTTATTTTCTTAACTTCAAACATAATTGACAATCTTCACAAATGTCACCTTTCTAAAGAAAGGGTCAACATTTAGCAGTGCATTACTAGATTTTTCACACATATTCATTATTTTGTGGTCTTTAAGTATTTAATGTTGAATAAGAAATTCAAGCTTTACTTCTACATGCCCACATGTCGGATAGTTAATAAATATGTTTTTCATTTGAATTCATTAAATTTGTCTGAAGTTTCAGAAACTACTAATACTTGTTATAAAATAAGTGATATAATTTAGTCAAAATGCTGAGTTATTTTTGAGTATTGAGAAGGATGTCAAATGTTAAATGGCATATTTTTCTTCTAATAACACCATCCTGGCTTGGCTGACCAAGTGAAGGGGAATAAATACAAATTAATTTAGAGGTCACACTACATATCATTAGAATCTGTATAATTTTTGTTTATCTTCAGTATTAAAAGAGGATTTTCAAGCTTTCAGTAGTACGTCATCAAGTATTTTATTTAAATTTTTAAAATTAACAGATACTTTTACATATTTGAAAAAAAATTTTCATTAAATTTAAAATTTTGGCTCTAATGCCTACTTGATAATAAATTATAGAGAAGCCTAAGGAAAAGTCAATTAATTATTCATAATTCAGCCATCCATATATTTGTGTATATATATATATGCATTATGCCTTTATCCACCAATCATTTTAAGAGTATTCTAGTATTAACACAAACTCTTTGAAACCATCAGTCTTTATTGCTCATAATGTCTGATTGCATTTATATACATACATATATACATAAAACTTCTCCAGTTATATTTACATGTTTATATATACCACTACAATATACATACACTATATATACAACACATACATATATTAACCTTTTTAAAAATCTACTCTTATCTGTTAAGACATACTAATTTAAAGCCAGTTTAAAAATCTAGCCTATGGCAAGTTTTTATGTCTGATTTGCTTGCTTATTGAATTTAATTGGTCATGTTATTATGCATAAATTCATTTTCAAATACTTATTAATTACCTACTGTGTTCCAGATTTATATTAGTAAATTTTTCTCGTCTAATTGCTAGGAAGTAGCAAAGTATAATGCATGTTACTGACCCACTCCTCACAGTAGGAGCCATAAATGGAGTCCCATATAGTAAGGTCTAAATATGTAAAGTTTTAACTGAAGATGTAAGTATCACCCATCCCTTTTCCCAGCTGTGGATCCCACTTTTAGTTCCCTTTACACCTTAACTGTACAACCCAGAGGCTCTCCAAAAGCCATATTTCACCTTACAGCAGGTCTGGTGCTTGGAGCCTGAGCATATTTATAACTGGGGTTGGAGAGAGCAAAGCCGGAAGTGGGTTGTCCAGGAATCCTGAACCAGGATGGAAACTGACCTCGTCACACTCTTCAGAGAGCTGAGCAGGCTGTTTCTCTATCCCGTGGAATAATCTTATCTGTTCTGAATTTCCAGGCAGGTAAGGTCTTTCCAATTAAGACCACTTAAGTCAAGGAAAGACAGAAAACTCAGCTATCTGTTTGGTTACACATTTTAACTGATTTGGGTGGCCAGCTTAAAACGAAAGCAGCCAAATTTCCTACAGCCACGCTTTTCTACTTCCCTGCCATCAACACACTCATACACTCACTCACACACTTGTGAACTCTTAGATTCACATTCATTTAACAGGAGGACCTGGTTTAGCTCACACATTCCATTCTTGTATTTAGTTTGTACTCAAATTAATCATTAAGTTTAGCGGAGCCGGAGTTTCTCCTTGTACAGGTCTAAGAGGATATTTTAATGTTACTGTTGAAAGTAAAAATAGTCATACAGGATTAATTTTAAAACAGAATTTCATTGTACCTTTAGAGTCAGAAGAACTGAGGTTTGCTCTTGCTTCTGTTATCTGGTATGGAATAACAGCCCGTACATACATGCGTATTACAGATTTCTTATCATGTTCATAATGTTTAATACCTAGTTCTATAATTATCCGAGTTATATAAACTATAGTTAACCATGTATCTTCAAAGCATAATACTAATCTTATTGATACTATTATATATTCTGAAACAGCAAAATATGTGCAAAAACTTTTGGCTTAAATAGGATCAGAATCCTCTGCTTCTGATCTTTTTGATATATGAGTTGTCAAGGAGACAGTACTTTGGAGGATGCTGGAAAATACATGGCAATATTATAGTTTAGAAGACAAAACCTTAGGAAGTGTTTCCCTCTCTTAGTCAAAGACATGACTGAAACCTATAAAAATATCTATTGATAGGGAAGGCACGGTGGCTTACGTCTATAATCCCAGCACTTTGGGAGGCCAAGGTGTGCGGATCACGAGGTCAAGGGATCCAGACCTTCTTTGCCAATATGGTAAAACTGAAACCCTGTCTCTACTAAAAATACAAAAATTAGCTGGGCGTGGTGGCACACGCCTGTAGTCCCAGCTACTCGGGAGGCTGAAGCAGGACAATCGCTTGAACCCAGGAGGCGGAGGTTGCAGTGAGCCCAGGTTGTGCCACTCCAGCCTGGCGACAGAGTGAGATTCCATCTCAAAAAAAAAAAAAAAATCTATTGACATACTTTCAGTGCACAACAATTCTCCTAAAACTTTTAATGACAAAAATAGATAGACATTGGGCTGCCTAAAAAAAGAGATCTATTTTAAGACAGAATTAGAATTAATTCTGTAGATATTTCATGTAGCAATGAGAACTGACCTGGTCTAAGAATGGCTTGGCAAAGTGACAATGAATATAGTATCTGAAGGATAAGTTGGTCAAGTAGAGGTAAAAGGAGAAAGATTATCCTATGCAGGAACACCTTAAAAAGTCCAGAGTTAGGATAATGGGTGCAATATCCAAGGAAAATAAGTTTTCATATAGGATGGCTCAGTTATGTTTTAGAATCCCAACTTTTAATTTGCTCAGACATTTATAAATCTCTTTTTAAATTTTCTATCTTAAATTGAACCTAATTTTGACAACTGTGCTTATACTCCCCTGTGGACTTCACATTTATTATGCAGATACCTATCTAGATGAGTTTGACATATATTCTATTTTTTATGAGATCCTGAGTTTAAATTACCTGTATTGAGTGATATACCCCTATAGGACAAGAATGTCTGGGATCACTAAACCACTGTAAGTGATTGAGTGATGGCTTTGCTTAAATGTCAGTACACCCATACTGGCTACTGCTATTACCCTTAGGGTATTGTTGCTTTCCTCTTGCCTGTCTACATCCTAACAGAGGTCTTGTTTCCTTTTTTTTTTTTCTTCTTTTTCCCTCAACACTTTTTGAAAGTTAATATGCAATTTGTTTTATTATGGGAATTGGTACTCAGTCACCAGCCTGCTTACTCATTACATTTTCCATCTCTCTCTTTGCTGATTTTTTATATACCTTGCTATTTTTGCAGCCTCCAGTGAAATGCAGAAATAAAAAGATAATTAAGTGTTCATGATCACTTTCCTTTGGAATCATAGAACTATGCAACCTTATTTTTCAACTACAGTGGATGAATGACAAACTGAAATAAAAACCAATGATTTATATTAAGCCAGGTGGGTATTTTGTGATCCTAGTCATGTAGGAAAACATTGATAAACAGTGAAAATGTGACTTGACCCATTTTTTTCTATTATGTTTGTCCATAACTTGATAGTATGATCCTTTCCTTTTATTATGTTTTATGTAAGTATAGAAGAACACCACAAAGCATAAGCCGGAATTTGCATATATGACAGAGATGTAAAGACATTGGGAAACCTGGCAACTAAAGTTTAAATAGTTAAAAGTGTAACATATATAACATTATTAGAGACAAGGCAAAGCTATCATAGCCAAGATGAATCAAATATATACATATATAATGTATATATGTATATATAATATATATAATGTATATATATGGTTCTTTTCTTTCATTATTATGTATTCATTATAAACATTTCAGCTTTTGGAAAGGTTTTTAATTTAATACTAAAACAGGTTTTATTCATTTTTTCCAAATCAATCATATTTTGCCTTTTTTCCCCTAATGGTCCTTTATATAGTTCAGGCAAAAAAAAAAAAAATAGCTATCTTGACTCTGCAGCTTTGGTATTATTGACCTTGTCAAATATAAGAAGGATGACAGAACAGAACACACATTTTTCAGTGGTATAAGCTGATTATATTCAGTCAAGTCGACATTTAAGGATCATTTCTAATCACATTTAGAATTGAATCTCATGCTACTCTTGGTAAATCCTTTCTGAACCTTATAGCCTTTTGAACTTAAAAAGGAACTGTCCGATACTTGAGAAAAATGCTTGCCAATTAGGAAAAATGGACAGTGATGAAGGAATAGCCCATAACTACAAATATAATCAGAATAAATCTGTAGGATGAACTTTAATCTACCCTGAGAGATGTGATAGGAAATTGGGCATATGCCCCTTTCTCCACTGGCTTTTCTTTTTCAAACACAGATTACTCTTGGCTGTCCCTTTTTTATAATTTGTGTAAAATTGATTTCCCTCTTACTCTTGGATTGCAATGTAAAGTCACACTGCCAGTAGAAAAAATCACATATAGCCAAAATTAGCCTTGATAATCTCACAAATAATCCTTCAATTTCAAAACCTGGAACTTCAGATTCTTAAAATAATATGCATTTTATTCATGGATTTTTTCCCCTCTGGAAGTAATGGAGGTCAAGTTTTTGTTAGAATGAGGAAATACTCTATCCCCCTTTTTTAAAATTATTTGCTTCTCTCTCTCTTCCTTTCAATCTCTACTTCTATCTTCATTTTAATATCATGTTTCTCCGTCATATTGCTACAATTAAGCAGGCTAAATATGCATATGACCTGATTCCATTGTACAGAACATAAGATAGAGCTGATATAATTCAAGGGTGGTAAGTCAATATCCAATTGTTGAAAACGGTTACAGTACATCAGTGAAAAAAACGTTTATGTCTACTTAGGTATTGCTGTATATTTTCCCAGCATCTGATCTCTGGTGAGATAGGAAGGTAACATATCCATAAGAAGAGTGGGATACTCTGGGTTCTATTAATTAATTATATATCCCTCATGTTAATTAAGCTCTCTGAATTTTTCATTTAACTCTCTAATGGCTATTATTTATTTGTTTGCTCTCTCTCTCTCTTTTTTTTTTTTTTTTTTGCTGTACAGTTACCCATATAAATTTACTCATGTGCATACCATGGTTCCATTTGTTTTAGCAATAGGAGACTGGATGGTTTGTGATATAGTTTGGATATATGTCCCCGCTCAAATCTCTGTTGAATTGTAATCCCCAGTATTGGAAGTGGAGCCTGGCGGGAGGTGATTGGATAATAGAGGTGGATTACTCATGACTGGTTTAGCACCATATCCTTGGTGCTTTCCTCAAGAGAGTGAGTGAATTCTAGTGAGAATCAGTTGTTTAAAAGTGTGTGGCACCTTCTCTCTCTCTCTTGCTCTGTTCTTGCCATGAGATGTGCCTGCTTTCGGGTCTCCTTCCAAATGAGTAAAAGCTCCCTGAGGCCTCCTCAGAAGCAGATGCTGCTTTGCTTCCTGTAAAGCCTGTGAAGAACTGTGAGACAATTAAACCTCTTTTCTTTTCTTTTCTTTTCTTTTTCCTTCCTTCCTTCCTCCTCTTCCCCACTTTTCTCTTCTCTTCTCCCTTCCTTCCTTCCTTCCTTCCTTCCTTCCTTCCTTCCTTCCTTCCTTCTCTCTTTGCTCCCTCCCTTCCTTCTTTCCTTGCTTTCTTGCTTTTTTTTTTGCTTGTTTTTTCTTCTTTTTTTTTGAGACAGAGTCTCACTCTGTTTCCCAGGCAGGAGTACAGTGGCACCATCTGGGCTCACTGCAAACTGCCTGCCAGGTTCAAGCAATTCTAATGCCTCAGCTTCCTGAGTACCTGGGACCACAGGTGCGGGCCACGACTCCCAGCTATAAACCTTTTTTTTTCTTTTTATAAATTACCTAGTCTCAAGTGTTTATAGCAATGCAAGAATGGACTAATAGAGTTTGTGATATAGCCCACGCTATTTTCTCTCACTGTGGCTAGAAGAGCCACATAATGAGATAAATGCAATCCCTAAATTTAAAACATAATGAAATCATAATCTTGTGATATTCACTTTATTACTTCAAAAGAAAAGAAAGAAAGTCTCACTAAAATGCTTGACTTGACCATTAGTTTGTGGAATTGAAACAAAGGTAGAGTCTTATTAAAATAAACATTACCATGAAAAGCATATTTCACCAAAACTAAGAAATAATAGTGATATTTTGCATACATAACTTCAAGGTAGTCAAAAGTACAATGAAAATATTTTCAACCCTCACTCCAAATTCAATTTTCTTTGTCCCACTACTATTTAATTGCCTACATGGCCTGGAATTCAACTGTGAATAAGAGCAGCTAAAATGTCTAGTAGATATATTTGTATTTCTTCTCAGAAAGTTTGCTCAAGAAATGTTGGCAAAACTATTCCTTCTGTAGGGTTTAGGTCAGTGATTTTTAAATCTGACAAACATTTTCCAAGGTTGAAAAGGAGTCGTTATTAAAACAAGATAAAATATAATGGTAAAGTTATTGGACAGCATTTTTATTTTACAAACTAATAATAACACATTAATAGAACAATGAAGAAATAAAGAAACCACAGCATAGGAAGTTCATAGATTCATTTAATGTGACTGGCTTTTCCTCTCCTCCTTTTTAACAATATTTTTAAGTTCAGGTACCTAATATAAAATGTTCCTCATCTTCATATTTTATGCCCAATTTTATTCAAGCTTCATAGTAGATTGAAATTAGTTGGCATATGTTTTTCAGCTTATTAGGCAAAGTATTTGATATGGAAAACCTACTTAATACAACTACTATTAGAGTTTTTGGTTCACAATATATTCAATAAATAATCATTAATTAATATACATTTTTACAAAACATGGTACTCTTCGGGCTCACCCAGCCAAACTTCCCAAAGCCTGGAGTCTTTTTGTTATATACTGGAATAAGAATTGAGGAATTGTTGTCTATCTAAATAGTTAACTTTCCACTAAGATGAACCAACTAAAAACATTAAAATTGTCATCACTCATCCAATCGGGTATTTCATTATGTTCTACATTTTGTTCAATATGGAAAACTGACTAGCAGAGATGGTTTAAGTGTCCATTCCTTTAAGCCCCGTGGGTTGTTGTTAAGATAGTCTCTTTTGTCTTTCTAGAAGTTAGTACAAAGTCTAATGATAGAAGTATAATTTTAATAGTGAGGATTGTAGTTACATTTTTGTTATGATCATACATGAACTGAGTTTCATATTTTCTATGTTTGACAATATACTTCAGAATTACTGATTTAGTAAATATGGCTTAATGATCGAAACATTTTTATTACCTTTACTTTCTAAAATACATTATGTATAAAATTCACATAAATAAAATAGAATGAAATCTATATAATATAGAGAAAAATATTTTCTTTAAATAAAAAATTCCATTAATGTGTACAGCATATATTTTGCTACTGAAAAACATTTTATTAGCTACTTGCAATGCTTTAAGCTACTCTCCCCTGGAATAATTATGAGCATTTTATTTTGAAAATTCACTCTTTAAACAATGCCAAATTATTCAAAATGTACTAACTATCAAAAAAAGTAATTTTTTCTGGCAGTACATGATCATATTAATGTTCTTGAAATAAACATACATAAATAATTTAATAAATTGCATCTGATGTTTATTTCTACAAAAGAATTCTAATAAGAGCTTAAGAAAATTCAAAGTGCTGCTTTATTATGTAAATTATAAGGAAATAGAATCTATTAACCTGTTTATTTTCTCCAAATCAAAAGATACAGTTTTTCTTAGGTAAACATGTAAGCTCTATTATAATTTGTTATAGCGATCTATCATTATAATAATCTATTATTACAATAATCTAGAGTAGTCCCTTTTCTATAGCAATCTATTATCTATTGAGATAAACTAGTGAAGGCTATTTACACCTTTCCAGGAGTTCAAAACCCTATTTAAAACCTATTAGAAAAAATTAAATTTCACATTTTACTATTAAGACTATACAGATAAACATATGTATACTATTGTAGAACTGTATCATGATTATATTTGCTTTGCCATTTAATGTTAACATTAAAATACTTGATATATTTCTAATTTCTCATTTATAATATAATTTTTTGTTTGTGTATATTAACCTCAGATGAGAAAATGTGTCAAATGTTAAATGTACAGATGCATCTTCCCATGGTTATTTGCTATAAATTCTCATACAATTTTTTTTTTAGTCTTGAAATTTTCCCTGGCAGATGTATTAGTGTTAGAGTAGCTGCCTATGACAAAACTGTGGCTAAGTAGAAATTCTATACAAGTGTGAAAGCATGCAGAAAAGTTTATTCCATGCAATTTTATTGCAAAAAAAGTAGAAGTTTCACATTCAGAGGAAAGGAGAAAAATAGGAAACTCACAATTATGGGGCCAGTGCTTTTTTATTTGTTTATATTATCTATATTATATGTGTGTGCATGTGCGCTTTTTTTTTTTTTTTTTTTTTAAGACGGAGTTCCACTCTTGTTCCCCAGCCTGGAGTACAATGGCGCCATCTCGGCTCACTGCAACCTCCGCCTTCCGGGTTGGGTTCAAGCAATTTTCCTCCCTTAACCTCCCCAGTAGCTGAAACTACAGGCATGTGCCACCATGCCCAGCTGATTTTGTATTTTTAGTAGAGATGGGGTTTCTCCATGTTGGTGTTGCTGGTCTTGAACTCCCGAACTCAGGTGATCCACCTGATTTAGCCTCTCAAAGTGCTGGGATTACAGGTTTGAGACACAGCGCCCAGCCGCATGTGTGCATTTTATATAATCTTTAGTGATTATAATTTGACAGGGTTGTCATAAAATATTCTAATTTATTTGACTTTGAGACTACAATAGAATAGGTATATAAATTATTTGCAACACTAACCTGCTTTGTGACATGTCTAGTGTTATACTATCCTGTTGTACAGTTGTCTCAACAGTATATAAAAGCCTCTTGAAGTCAGGACATATTTTATAGAATCATGTCATCCAAAATAAATTATAACGTCTGATAGAATTGTATCATCGAGCACAATACCTTGCTTACATCAGATGTTCAATAAATGTCATATAATTTTCTTTTACTTTGGTACAATGAGAAATATGAAAATGGGGGAAGAAAAGATGTCCCAATACACAGAACTTATAAAATACATTGTGGAAATATGAAAGTCTCAATTATAGCATAAGAAAACATGATCCAACATTAATACAGTAAGGCATATGCAGATTTCTAGACAAAATTAATATAAAAAATTCACATCTAAGAAAATAATTCTAAAATTCTGGTGCAATCAATTTCTTTATAGCATATAAGTATCCTAGTTACAAAATACAGAACCTCTTTGGACTAATTGCACAGAAAGAAATTAATGAATATATTTTCTTAGCTTATGGAACTGATAAAATGCTGAAGACAAAGTCATAAAATGAGCAGAAAGAAAGGGAATCTAAGCAGAGTGATTGCGGCCATGATCATGGCATCATTTAATCATATTGCTGTAATTATTGAATACTAGGTATTTGTGTTCTTACTGTCACTAACATTAGAGATCAGGCTGTTTACTGACAGCTGCTCTTGTCTCTGAAATTTGAAGGTTGCTGGCATCTCACTTGACCCTCAACTGCTGCCCTCCCCATGCTTCACTGCATCAGTAGTGCAGATTCAAAGCTCCAGAATGATATGTCAGATGGGCAAGCCAGAGTCCATGGGTCCATGTCCTGGACTGCAGACAGGTTCAAAGTGAATATGGCATTTGAATGTTTGACTTTCACAATGGTAGGATTGAAATTTCCTAATAATAGATAAAAGTTCAGTTCCTGAGTAGCCAAATATCAAGAGATGTCTAAAAAATTCTGTTTCTCGGCCGGGCGTGGTGGCTCACGCCTGTAATCCCAGCACTTTGGAAGGCTGAGGGGGGTGGATCAGTTGAAGTCAGGAGTTCGAGACCAGCCTGACCAACATGTTGAAACCCCATTCCTATTAAAAATACAAAATTATCTGGATGTGGTGGTGCACTCCTGTAATCCCAGCTACTCGGGAGGCTGAGGCAGGAGAATCGCTTGAACCTGGGAGGCAGAGGTTGCAGTGAGCCGAGATTGCACCATTGCATTCTAGCCTGGGCAAGAGGAGCGAAACTCCCTTTCAAAACACACACACACATGCACACACACACACACACAAAACTGTTTCTCATTTGCAGGTAACATCTAGGTACTTGTATCTCCTCCTATACTTGAGGACTATTTATAGTTCTACATGCTAACATTCTAAGTAACTGAAATTTTTGTCATATTTGAATTAAGAGACCATGAAGCATTTTAATGCCAGTGTGCCAAGGCATGATCCTTTTTTTTTTTCTTTTTTTCTAAACTGGCTCATACTTACAAAAAGCAAGGTAGAGAAAGCTTAGTTTATCAAGAAACAACTAATTTTGAAATACAATTCCTTATCTAGCTCATTCTCCTATTAGGTCCATTAGCCCATATGTACTTCAAGAACAACATGTTCATTACATTCTTACTGTCATAGATTAGGGGAGTGTTAGGTTCATAAAAACATATACAGTAAAGGGTTTCTGGAGGGTTTGTGTTTTCATAGAATGTGGTTGTATAATGTCTGATCATTATTATTTTTTAAGTTATTAAGGGTGACTTGTGTTGTCATACCAATTTAATTTTGTAAGTACTTTCAGGAAGTTTCAACATGAGGTGCAGTCTCAAAAAATTTCATATTTAAACATGTAAAATCAAAGTAAAAATTATGCATGAGTTAAGAATGACGAGCCTAAGGTATTTTGTAATATTATTTATATAGGTGTTTAGAAAGCAAAATATAAATATTTATCTCCAAATATAAAAGAGGTTTTTTTTCTTGTTTTTTAATGACAGACAACATACAGAACATGCAAGAAATTATTTTGGAAGTAGAATGTCACATCCATATATATGATTTCCAAACAAAATAGCAGGACACAGACTAAGTTTTTTTTAAAAAAACTGCATCAACAAAGGATATCATGAATACTGTACTTTGCAGATAGTTCTGTCAATATACTGAGACTTATTATAAACTAATAGTTGTTTGCAGACATACAGATTCATTTACTAGAACCTGAAGCAAAGAAATTAAATTGATATGCCTTGAAATGTAAGCTTAATTTTTTTTTAACGTCACACCTGCTGTTAAGATCTTTTTCATTCAGTGCCAGAAATGCTGAACTTGGTTAAAAGTAATAATAGAATGGAGATGGAAATTCAGAAACTGCTTTTGGAATATTGAAGAGCAGCTACACTGTTCCTCTGATACATGTGTAGATCCAAATTTGAAAGACAAATTTGCTCAGGTAATGTTGCATAGCAGCAAGTGCATCTCTGCTACATGCTGTTACCCAGGGACTCCTGTATCTTTGATCTATGACTCTGCAGTCATCCACAGTGAAGTCCTCAAAGATTTTAGTCTCAGGAGCCTTTCCATTTCTGAGAATTATTAAGAATCACAAGGTCTTTCATTTAAATAAGTTATATCAATTGATATTTACTATAGTAAAAATTTAAAGATTCAATTTTAGAGATATTTATTTACTCCACTTAAAAACAGTAATAAATTCATTACATATTAGTGTAATTAATATTTTTAAAACTATATTTTTCAGCAAAGAAAATTGGTGAGAAGAGTGACATTGTTTCACATTGTTGCAAGTCTCTTTAGTGTCTAGCTTGGCAGATGACAGCTACATTCAGATATCTGCCTCTGCATTCGTTAATTTTCAGTATCTCATGTCATGTAGCATTTGGAACACTGTGCTGTGCATTTTCAGAGAATAAGTTTTAAAATACTTGAGTATTACTTAAAATTAAATATATTTAAAATAATTTTGAAAAGTAAAAACAAGATTTTAACATCTCAGTATTAATTTTAAAATAGCCTACCCATTCAGGGTACTGAAAGAGCACTGGGGATTCCCAGAGGTGCCTGGAGGACACTTTGAGAACCACTGTTCTAGGGCCATGTATTCCAATGAGGGAAGATGTTTCCAAACTATCTAGTTTATGGTTCCCTTACTGTCTCAATCATTTTTTTAAAGTGTGACTAGAAAAAAGTAACATGCTAAAATTTTCCTTTATAAGTATTTGGGTTCAAACAGCTTAATAAACATGTCCTAGCAACTTAATAGAGATTTTTAAAATAAAGATAAAATACTACAAATATTTTATTTTATATTATTCTTAAATAACCATAATTTCTTATTATGGGATGATTACACAATTTCTTAATTATGCAATTATATTGGAAATAGTCACCTACATTGCCACTTCTGTATTTTCCTGTCGTACTTCCTTTTTTTAAGGAATTTTAATTTTAAAACAGTTTTAGATTTATAGAGAACTGTGAGAAGATAAGAAAGTTCTTATAAGCCTAAAACTAGTTTCCTATATTATTAACATATTCTTCCAAGTGTGGTTCATTTGCTATAATTATTATTAATTTAAGACTATACTCGGATTTTCTTAGTTTTTACCTCATGTTCTGTTTCTATCCCATGATCACATTGACTTGTCATGTCTCCTTCGGCTCCTCTTGACTCTGAAAATTCATCAGATTTTTCTTTGTGTAATGACTTTGACAACCTTGAGGAGTACTGTACAAGTATTTTGCAGAATGCCCCTAAATAAGGATTTGTCTAATGGTCTTCTCATGATTGGAGTGGATTTACTGGAGAATGAGCACATAGGTATATGCCAGTTTCACCACATCATATTAAGGGCACTTACTATTCATATGACTGATCACTGTTGATGCTTGGCTGAGGTAATGTTTGTCAGGTTTCTTTACTGTAAAATTACTCTTTTTCCCGTTTTCCATACTGTAGTCTTTAGAAGGAAATATGAGCAGTCCATACTGCTTGAGAGCAGAAAATTATTTGGAAATTGTCTGCATTTTAGTTTTTTTTTTTTTTTTTTTTTTTTTGCTTATTTGTTTTTGTTGTTGTTGTTGTTTTTCTAATATCTGCTATGATGACCTGGAAGAGCTCCTGATGATAAAACAGGAGTGTTAGGCCACCTATAACTGAGTCCCCGGGGAGCTTTTACCTCTTAGCTTGTCCAGACTGGGCCTTCAGCAAATCATCAATTACAGTTTCAGGTTTTTGTGCCCCAGCATTGGTTTCTGCAACAGTTTCTGTTAATGAGTTTCTGCTCTGGTAATTTGTGACTCTCTGTATCCACATGTCTATCTCTCCAATTTTTGGAACAGCTGTTTGCCCCGTGACCTCATTTTTCTGAAAACTTTTCTGAAGAAAAGTTGTTGATTTTTCTTTTTGTTCAGCTTTTAATTTGTCGTTTGAATGGAGTGAAAACTTTTAAGTTTCCTATATGCCGTACTGAAAATCAGAAGTGGTGGTTTACATTTTTGGAAAGATTTAATTATTGATTTATAGAGCTCTTCAGGTAATCTATTACTATTTTTGTAATTTTTATAAGTTGTGTCTTTCAAAGAATTGGTTCATTTCATCTGATTTTAAATTTTTTGTCATAGAGTTGTTCATAATATTTCTTTTTTATCATTGAAATAATAACATTGGGAGAAATAGTAATGACCTCTCTTTTATTTCTGATATGCAGGATTTGTGTTTTCTCTCTTCTCTTTCTCTCTCCCTTTTTCTTTTGTTAGCCTGGATATATGTTTAACAATGTTAGTTATCTTTTTTAAACAATCAGATTTGGACTTCGGTTGTGTTAAGGATCTTTGTTTTCTTGAAACATTTATTTTAGGTTGGGGTGGGTACATGTGCAGGTTTGTTACATGGGCAAATAGTGTGTTTCTGTGGGTTTGTGTACAAATGATTTTATCACCCAGGTAGTGAGCATAGTATATAGTACTTGATAGGTAGGTTTTTTTTTTTTTTCTTTTTTTCTTTTTTTTTTGAGATGGAGTCTCACCCTATTACCCAGGCTGGAGTGCAATGGCGCGATCTCTGCTCACTGCAACCTCCACCTCCTGGGTTCAAGCAATTCTCCTGACTCAGCCTCCCGAGTAGCTGGGATTACAGGTGCACCCCACGACGCCTGGCTAATTTTTTGTATCTTTAGTAGAGATGGGGTTTCACTGTGTTGGCCAGGCTGGCTTTGAACTCTTGACTGCACAATCCAACCCCCTTGGCCTCCCAAAGTCCTGGGATTACAAACATGAGCCACTGCACTCGGCAGATAGGTAATTTTTTTATCTTTACTCTCCTCCTAGCCTCCAACCTCAAGTAAGCCCTGATCTCTATTGTTCCCCTCTTTGTGTCCATGCATTCTCAATGTTTAGCTTCCACTTCAGAGTCAAACATGTTTTCTGTTCCTGGATTTATTTGCTGAAGATAATGGCCCCCAGCTGCATTCATGTTGCTGCAAAGGACACAATTCCATTCTTTTATGGCTGCATAGTAGTCCATGGTGTATATGTACCTAATTTTCTTTATCCAGCCCACTATTAATGGACATCTAGGTTGATTCTATGTCTTTGCTATTGTGAAAAGTGCTGCGATGAACATAGGCATGCACATGTCTTTATCATAGAATAATTTATATTCTTTTGGGTATATTCCCAGTAATGGCATTGCTGAGTCAAATGGTAGTTTTGTTTTAAGTTGTTTGAGAAGTCTCCAAAGTGCTATCCACAGCGGGTGAATTAATTTATATTCCTACCAGCAATGTATAAGCATTCCCTTTTGTCTGCAACCTCACCAACATCTGTTTATTTTTTAAATAAACACATCCTAACTGGTGTGAGATGGTGTCTCACTGTGCTTTTGATTTGCATTTGCATTTCCCTAATGATTAGTGATGTTGATCATTTTTATTTTATTTATTATTAATCATTTTTATTTTATTTTATTTTATTTTAAACGGAGTCTTGCTCTGTTGCCCAGGCTGGAGTAAAATGGTGCAGTTTCGGCTCACTGCAACCTCCGCCTCCCAGGCTCAAGCAATTTTCCTGCCTCAGCCTCCCAAGAAGCTGGGATTACAAGCACGTGCCACTATGCCCAGCTAATTTTTGTATCTTTAGTAGAGACGGGGTTTCACCATGTTGTCCAGGCTGGTCTTGAACTCCTGACATCAGGTGATCCACCGGCTTCGGCCTCCCAAAGTGCTGGGATTACGGGCATGATGCATCATGTTCGGCCAAGCATTTTTTCATATGCTTGTTGGCCACATGTGTGTCTTCTTTTGAGAAGTGTCTGTTCATATCCTTTGCAATTTTTTTTAATAAAGCTGTTTTTTGTTTGTTGATTTAAGTTCCTTATAGATTATGGATATTAGACCTTTGTTGAATGCATAGTTTGTAATTTTTTTCCCTTTCTGTAGATTTCTGTTTACTCTGTTGGTAGTTTATTTCGCTGTGCAGAAGCTTTTCAGTTTAATTAGGTCCTACTTGTCTATTTTTGTTTTTGCTGCAGTTGCTTTTGGAGCCTTCATGATGAAATCTATGCCAAGGCATATGTCTAGAATAGTATTTCCCAGATTTTCTTCTAGGGTTTTTACAGATTTAGGTTTCACTTTTAAGTCTTTAAAACATGTTGAATTGATTTTTGTATATGGTGTAAATAATGGTTTTAATTTCAGTCTTCTTCATATGGCTAGCCAGTTATCCCAGCAACATTTGTTAAATAGGGAGTCCTTTCCCCTGTGTTTGTAATTGTTGATGGTCAAATGGTTGAAGTTATGGGCCTTTATTTCTGGGTTCTCTAACCTGTTCAGTTAGTCTATGTATCCGTTTTTTGTACCAATATCATGCTGTTTTGGTTACTGTAGCTCTGTAGTATAGATTGGTGTTGGGTAGTATGATTTCTCTAGCTTCGTTCTTTTCACTTAGGATTGCTTTGGATATTCAGGTTCTTTATTGATTCCCTATGAATAGTTTATTTTAATTCTGTGAAAAATGACTTTCACAGTTGGATAGGAATAGAATAGAACCTGTAAATTGTTTTTGGCCATATGACCATTCTAACCATATTGATTTTTCTTTTTCAGGATCATGGAACTTTTTTATTTTATTGTGTCATCTCTGATTTTTGTCAATAGTGATTTGTAATTCTCATTGTCACATCCTTGGTTAGCTATATTTCTAGGTATTTTATTCTTTTTTTGGCTTTTGTAAATGAGATTCTTGATTGAGTTATCAGCTTCGACATTACTGGTGTATAGAAATGCTACTGATTTTTGAACATTAACTTTGTATCCTAAAACTTGACTGAAGTTATTAGGTCTAGGAGCCTTTGGGCAGAGACTGTGGGGTTTTCTAGGTGTAGAATTATGTCATCTGTAAAGAGAGATTGTTTGACTTTCTCTCTTCCTGTTTGGGTGCCTTTTACTTTTTTCTCTTGTGCGATTGCTCTGGCTAGGACTTCCAGTACTACACTGAATAGGAGTGGTGAGAGTGAGCATCTTTGTCTTGTTTCAGGCCTCAGGGGAATGCTTTCACCTTTTGTCTGTTCAGTATGATGATGACTGTGGCTTTGTCATAGATGGCTCTTATTTTGAGGTGTTCCCTTGATGACTAATTTGTTGTTTTTTAAAACAGGAAGTGATGTTGAATTTTGTTGAAAGCCTTTTCTGAGTCTATTGAGATGATCATGTGGTTTTTGTTTTTAGTTGTGTATGACATCAGTCACATATATTTATTTGTGTATGTTGAACTAACTTTGCATCCCAGGAATTAAAGCCTACATAATCATGGTGGATTAGCTTTTTGATGTGCTTCCGAATTCTATTTGGTAGTATTTTGATGATAATTTTTGCATATGTGTTCATCAAGGATATGAAATTTTTCTTTCTCTTAGTGTCTCTGCCAGGTTTTAGTATCAGAATGATGCTGGGCTCATAGAATGAGTTAGGAAAGAGTCCCCTCGCTTTGATTTTCTGGAATAGTATCAGTAAGATTGGTATCAGCTCTTCTTTATACATCCGGTAGAATTCAGTTGTGAATCTATCTGGCCCAGGGATTTTTCTGGTTGGTAGGCTTTTTGGTACTGATACAATTCCAGAACTCATTATTGGTCCGTTCAGGTATTCAATTTCTTCCTGATTCAATCTTAATAGGTTATATGTTTCTAGGAATTTATCCATTTTTTTTAGCTTTTATTGTTTGCGTAAATAGGTATTCATAATTGTCTCTGATAGTTTTTTTTTTTTTTTTTTTGGTTTGTTTGTTTGTATTTCTATGGGATCGGCAGTAATGTCATTTCGGACTGTGTTTATTGAGAGCTTCTCCCTTCTTTAAATTAACCTAGCTAGTAGTATATCAAACTTATTTATTCTTTTAAATAACCAGCTTTTGATTTCATTGATCTTTTATAGGCATTTTCACATCTCAGTTTTGTTCAGTTCAGCTCTGATTTTGGCTATTTCTTTTCTTTTGCTAGGTTTGGTGTTGGCTTACTCTGGTTTTTGTATTTCCTGTAGGTGTGATATTAGGTTGTTAATTTGAGATCTTTCTAACTTTTTGATATAGGCATTTAGTGCTATAAACTTTCCTCTTACCATTGGTTTGGCTGTGTCCCAAGATTCTGGTATATTGTATCTTTGTTTTCATTAGTTTCCAAGAATTTGTTAATTTCTGCCTTAATTTTATTCTTTACCCAAAAGTCATTCAGGAGCAGATTGTTTAATACCTGTGTAATTGTGTGATTTTATGCTTTGTTGTCAAGTACATACACACTTAGGATTTTTATATATTTTGTGAAATTGACCCCTTTATTATTGGACCTCTGCAAGTAATGGTAGACAAGAAAATTCAATGCATAGGGAAGACATATCTTGGCCACATGTGAATAGCAGGTATTAGGTAAATGGTCCCACCTACATGTAAAGGCTCTGAGAAATGTCTAGGAGGATGCAAAGGAGATAATATCATGGCTATTGAGAAATAAATCACTATTAACTTTGTCTCTTCTGTGTTTTTGGAAACACTCTCAAGATGAACACTGAATTACCAATTCAATTTTATGTTCATGTAATCTGTGTTTAACTGTATCCATTATATTTTGATATTGATAATCCTTTTTTCTGAATATAGTCTTAGTTGGTATTTGGAAGTTTTCTACTATGCAGTGTCCTCTTGGTTATCATTGAAAATCTAAGTTAAATATTTTACATATTGTTTAATGTCATACTATAAGTTTGCTTTCTTCATGAATATTATTTCCAGTTTCTTAGAATGAGCCAATCCTTTCAATGTTGTGTGCCTTTTATGTGCCTCTTAATTTGTTTTTTTTTTTAAATTTAATATAGAGAAACTGACATTTTTCGAAGAAATTAGTTAAATAAATTGTAGAGGCCACTGCTCAAATATTTTTATTTTTCAAAAACTTGAAACAGAATAGGTTTGTTTCTGTAATTTTATTTTGCACTTTCAAGATTTTAAGTGTGTGTAACATCTGAAAATTTTAGGCTTTTTCTCTTATTTCACATTTATTTTTCCTTGAAAATTTCAATGAAATTTTTATAAAACGGGAAGCAAATACTTAGCTTCAAATCATTATCTTATGACTGGGTCACTTTTAAAATATCTTTCACATTTATAAATGTATATACTTTAAATAGCAAATGTCTTCTGGCTTTTTATTCATTTGGTGTTTCTCTTAGTCTGCGTTGTGCTACTATAACAGAATAGCATAGACTGAGTAATTTATAATGAACAGGAATTTATTTCTCACAGTTCTTGAGGCTGGGAAGTCCAAGATTAAGCTGACAGCATTTGGCATTGGCCTTCTTGCTGCAACATAGCATGGCAGAAGTTCATCACATGGTGAAAAGACAAGGAGAGGGACAGATCGAGAGAGAACAGGGGACTCAAACTGCCCCTTTCGTTATAAACCCACTCCTGAGATAACAAGCCTACTCCCACTCTAATGGCCTTAATCCATTCACTCCACACTCAAGGCCTAATCACCTAATCATCAGGCCCCACTTTCCAATACTGTTGCACTGAGGATTACATTTCCAACACATGCTTGTCTGGGGGACACATTCAACCCATAGCAGTGTTTTTAAAGCAGGGTGGCACTTCACTTATTTATTTTTTTGTATAAGAATAACTATGTACAATTCTGTACTGATTGACATTAGGCCTGGTTACATACATTGACCACCTAAGTAAGAGTTGCTTAAGAAAACTCATACATGAATGTTTTTCTCATGTAACAAGAATATTGATAAGTTTACTTAACAATAAAAATATCAATATTCTTGTTACACGAGAAAGGGTTAAACTGTAGTTAAATAAATTGTCAAGTTTAGGTTGAGCCTCCTTCTTCATGAAATCATGTTCATTAACATTTCTGTTCTGCTCATATGGAAGATGCCATTCTTGCCCTAATGGGCTGAGCATGAGAACTGCATTTTACACAGGAAGAAGAGGAATGAAGTCAAAGCAAAAAAATGATAAAATAGTTAAGACTACGTCTCAAATCAATTTGCTTAGCTAATAAAAACATATAGTATATATTCTACAAAATAGTACAGTAGGATTATTAGAGAAATAAGCATCATTAAATTCCTCTCTAACAATACTATAGTAAAAAGCTAGTTATTTGATCATCATCTCTAGTATATAGTTTATTTTCTGGTGAAGAAAAATAAATTGTCCATTTTTAGAAAATGTAGTGTCTGACTTGCTATTTTATATTTGTCATTTTTTTCAACTTATGCTATCTCAAGATATTCTGATATAACACTGTAATTATCTGGCTAAACTCATAATGTAGATTATCAACTTGCTAAGCTAGTGAGTATGCTTTTAATTTTATAAAGGATATGTAGCAATATAAATTTAAGGAAGATAAAAGTAATTTTTAGAATGCTACATTACTCTCACAAAAAACTTTCTTCATGTTCTTATTTCTCTTCTTGCCAGTAGACTCTACAACATAATCTAAAATTTAAATGACAAAGTAATGTAATTTATGTTATGTCTTGTTAAGGAATACAACAATTTTTTGGGTATATCGTTTTACTTCTAAGGAGCTTGAAGGGAACCTATGTTCAAATTACACAGACGATATCAACTATTTTTGAAAGTTTCTGAAACCAGCCAGGCATGGTGGCATGCGCCTGTCATCCCAGCTACTCGGGAGACTAAGATAGGAGGATTACTTGAGCCCAGGAGGTAGCGCTGTGATTGTACCACTACACTCCAACCTGAGGGACAGACCAAGACCCTGTCTCAATTAAAAAATAATAATAATAATAACAAACAAACATCCTGAAACCAACCATTATTCATATTTCCTCTGGTGCTAAATTTGAAACAATGTCATTAAAAAGAAAGGTCCTGTAGATTGTAAATAATATTTTCCACTAATTCCAGAAAAAAATTTTATATATATATGGATATATCATATGTTTATATTATGTGTTTTACAGAAAGGAACTATCCCAGTCTTACATTTGAAAATGTTGTGTGCATATATTATATGTATGTTGTATATGTGTTTAAGATTTGATAGAGAGACGATCATAAAATCATTAATATTCATTAGTAAACGATAAGGTGAGGGTCTATACTGATAATATTATCTTAGTCACTGAGTGATAATTATGTACAAAATAAAATTTTAACTTCACTAAGAAAGGACTCAAAATACATGGCCTTTATAATTTTTTTTTTTTTTTGCTTATCCGCATGTGAGTTTCCAAACTGAATCATGTTACAAGACACATAACAGTGAATGAATCATTTGAACTCTTTAAAACTTAGATTCCATTATTTTCAAATTGGAATGTCAATTATATTTATCTGTATGTTATTTTGAGAATTCATTAAAATCAACAAAGTATCAAGTACAGTTCCTGGCACACAATAAATCTTTTATAAATGTTAGTAATTATCTATTTTTCATACTTTATGTTCTACCTCTCCTTTTTTATAATTTTCATGTTTTTATTATTGCCATAGTAATTATTATAATTATTCCTATTGTGATTCAAACTCCCCACCTAGCAATTATTTATCCTACACATGATCATGTAGGATAATCTTATTTTATACTACAGAAAATAATCCTATTTTTTTCTTATTACAAAATAATAAGGAAAAATATAAAATAATTATTATCTTCTGTAGGATAAATAATAATTCAGCCTATGTGACCAGCTATTAAAATGTAGAAACCAAAAGAAGTTTTTATAATTAAATTCTTACAAACCATAAATTCATAAATGATAACATTGGGATTTGAACAATCTAAAACAGTTTCTTTTCTGGCACAAATCACCGTATGTAATACAATGGAAATCAAATCAGATAAATGTAAAAAACACAATGCAGATTTAGCTTTCCATGAGTTCTATTAAAATACATTGGCAAGACTATTCATTAGCATTTATAAAAATCTGAACAGCACTTTTATGACTTAGAATTCTTATCTCAGAGAATAAAAACACAGAAGTACTTAGAAACTATCTTTTATTGTTTATTTTCTCTTGTAATTTCAACAAATAGTAGGTGGACTAGTGAATATATATTGCAGAAAGACACACTTGTACTGAAGAAGAAGGTAAATATGTCAAGCCAACAGAACCATTTGGAGCATTCAGCTCCATCTAAGAAGGTAGTGTCTTTTCGTAAAATGTTCAAGCAAATAATTGAACAGAAACAGTAACTTCTCTATCTAGTATTTGAATTCTTTCCAACACAACTTAGATTTATTTCCTTTAAAAGACTATCTCTTATAGTCTATATGAAGAAATAAAAATATTCCCCAAAGCAATAACATAAGTAACAACATTTTTTTGGCACAGATAACTATAATTTGGACTTCAGAAGAAAATATAATAACTCACTTGTATTAAGCAGTTATGGCATATCAGGTACTTTTGCTATGCTATTACCTTTGCATGTATTATTTCAATCACCTTCAAAATTATTAAGATAGGTATTGTTATTTTGATATTTTACACATGAGTAAAGACAGAGCCATGAAGATAAAAAGAAATACAATTTATTATGGTACCGGGATCAAATTCCAAAATTATGCTTTTGAGGAGTAAAGTGCATTATGAGTAGGGGAGTAACATAAACATTAGCAAAGATGGGATTTAGCATAGAAGGTTAAAGATAATCAGGAAGTTGATTAAATATAGAAGATCTAGATATGGAGTACTGAGTTTAGTGTGACAGAGAAATCAGATTATAGAGCATTTGAAAAGTAAAGAGAAGAGTTTAAGTTGATTGAGTAACCAGTGAATAAACTTCTAGATCATTACAAAGCAGATGAGAACGTACTTTTAGGAATAGTGGAAACCAAATGAAGAATGTATTTAAGTAGAAAGATCAACTACAGATAAAGCCTTGCATTTACAGCAACTCATCATCAAGTGAGAATGAGAGAATCACTGTTATTTTGTTATAAAAAAGAGATTCAAATAAAATTATTATTATCTGAATAATGGACAATCATTATTGACAATTTTCTATAGAGAATTAACAAAAATAAAAAATATTATTTTAAAAGAAAATTTATGTTTGTAAAATATTCATGCTATGAGTCAGTGGCTCTGATACATTCAGAAGTAATAGAAGTAATTCTGTGATTTTACGGAATAAGAAGGGGTTCCACTAGTTTTATAGCAGTTCAAAAGTTCACCAATATTATGGACAGTTTGATAACTGTAATATCAAGAACACTGTGCTTGTCATTTAGTTGGAGTTACTTCTAAAATATAGTTTATATAGAGAAACACCTAAAGAAAATGAAAGAATGGTAGGTCATAAAAGCCAAACAGGATAAGGAATAAAATTTTATAACTCACTTTCAGTCAGTTCTACTAAAAAGATAAAAATAAAAAAGGAAACATAAAGATTGCTTATCATGGCTAAGGAATGTCAATGGTTGGCAGTTTATTCTCAGAATAATTGAAGATATATGATAAAATTTAACAATGTATGTAAACATCTTAAAAGTGGTAAGTCGAATACGGGTATCACATGCTTGTATGCAATTGATTCTGTCTATAAAGTATGACTATACTTAGTTATATATAAATAAGAAAGGGTGAGTATAGGAGATTATGGATAAGCTAGATAGTTTAATAAAAAGACGCCTTTATAGAACAGGAAGGACAATACTGAGGTAACACAAAATATCCCCAGAGAAAGTAAATGAAATAGAAAATCTCATCTAAGCTGTTTAAGAGAAAACACTTGATTGTGTGGAAATGGAGATTATATCTGTATAATTGGAGTGAAATGATGATAAGACACAATGAAGTAAGTTGTACATTGACATTAAAAGTTGCATGATTTAAACTTAGTAGAGTTGAGGGTTTCAGAAACAAAGCTTTGATAAAGAATTCTAGGCAGGAAAAAGAAAAGAGTAAACATAAGAAAAACTCTTCCCTGTGTCAAAATCTCACTCCGTTTGTGGTTGGATATGGGAGCTGAGTCAACTTGAGAATTAATTTCTCAAGACAAATAAAGCAAAATGATTGTTGCTCTTCGTCTTTGACCTGTTATGAGGGAAAAAAGATTTTTCTCCTGATAGCAATACCAGGAAATTCTCCTGTTGGTAAAATTAAATTTGGTCCTATAAGTTTAGGCCTTATTGAATGCACTGCTTGGCTCAAGAGAACTAGCCAGTTGCCAGACTGAATGTCAACTGAAGCATTGCAGCATGGTTGATATTAATGTTTGAAAGCTCCAACCTTCTGGATAGGTCTAAAAATTATAATTTTGCATGATGAAGATGATCTTCTAAGCTTATCATTTTTTTCTTGAACAAAAATTAAAATATGTATTAAATTAATTGTACATTTTTCATAAAGGATTATGAGGCATATTGATCTACTGAGAGGTAGCTATTTCCATATGGGTGAAAACATGCCTGAACTAAAGAGCACAGAAATTGATGTTTCTATGGCCTTGTTTTTACTTGATTAATTAGTAATATTATTGTATTAATAGAGTTATGAATATGAGTTTAAAAAACAGATTTTTAATTGATAATCATAGGTTGATAATTCCTGGAGGCAGGGGTGTGCTGAGTACATATTCATCACTGAATGAAACCTCTTCCAGGGGTAATTTTTAAATATTCATCCTCAACTTTCTAATGTATTATAGCTAGATTCGCTGAGGGAAATATATCCACTAAAGTATTTCTTTCATGAGTTTCCCCTGAAAAGAGTAAATTAAAAAGGTATGAAGGAGCTCTCTTTATTCCACTGTAAGAGTCTGCCTTGAGCAGACAGCATAATTGGATAATGAGTGGGCACTCTAATATGCCAAGAACAAGAATATGGCTTATCCCAAATATGCAGTGACCAATTTATTATAGAAATGGACACTGAGGAGTGACAGAAGAGACAGAATAAAGAAGAGATAAGTAGAAAGAATAAAGTAGAATATTTTTAAAAGAAAGTTTCAAGAACTTAGAAGCAGGGAGTTAGGGAACTAATGTATGTTCTATTCATTAATAAATGAAAAGTGTAATGTATAATAGGGCAGTCTGACACAAAAGAATAGTATACAGTCTAAACATCACATTTTGGAGTAACCCAGAAAAATGTATCTTCCTCGAGTCAAAATGGTGTGTGTGAGAGAGAGTGTGTGTTTGTGTGTGTTTTGGGGGGAGGTATAGATAAATTTTAGCTCTTGTATTTATACTCAATAAGTATGATCCTCCATGAAGTATTTCTCTACTAGAGTGTATCAGGAGAAAAGGGGGAGAGGGCAGGGGCTGGAGGCACCGCGGGTTTCTCCTCACCTAAGTTTAAAGTTAACTAATGTAAAGCAAAAATAAAATGGGTAACAGTCCCGAAAAATTTGAGCAAACAAAACCAAAGGCCTGGGGCCGGGCGCGGTGGCTCACGCCTGTAATCCCAGCACTTTGGGAGGCTGAAGTGGGTGGATCACGAGGTCAGGAGATCGAGACTATCCTGGCTAACACGGTGAAACCCCATCTCTACTAAAAATACAAAAAAAAAAAAATTAGCTGGGCGTGGTGGCGGGCGCCTGTAGTCCCAGCTACTCGGGAGGCTGAGGCAGGAGAATGGTGTGAACCTGGGAGGCGGAGCTTGCAGTGAGCAGAGATCGCGCCACTGCGCTCCAGCCTGGGTGACAGAGCGAGACTCCGCCTCAAAAAAAAAAAAAAAAAAGAAAAGAAAGCCTTAAAGCAAACATAAGTAAAACTTAACTTGGGTCATTGCCGATAAATGCTTATGTTAAACAGAACTAAAATTTAACCTCAACCAATCATAAGCAGCCAATGAACATATGATTATGTGATTAGAGACTTTCCACCAAGGTGGACTAAAATGAAGCCATTTTGTAATTGCAAACCATTCAAATAATTTACTTACTGTGCTTTTGCATTTTTCCAATAAATATTGCCTCTGACATTTTGTCATTGGAACGCTAATTGGTTGCTTCTTACTCAAACTCTCTAAAATTTTATTGTGCCTCTGATTTTTCTTTGACACCAGCCAATGTCCCAAAGCTATAATAATGATCAAATATATGATATTGTATTTTCAGATGTGCAACAGTAAATACTTTTTTCTATTACAACAAAAGAAAAAATATATAAATAGAGAGACCTATCATTATCTACCAGATGAGAGGGTGCTCCTTGAATCTCTGTATCTGTATTGTGACAAGTAGAGTTGGATTTTATGATACACTTCACACATTTACGCTACAGCTACACATTGCTAGAGGAAAGTGTTACTATTTTCACTACAGTTTTTCATTCACGTATAATTCTTAAAAAAAAAAAGAAAAAAGAGAACTTGCCTGGGGTTGTGTGGCATAATGAGAATTACATCTCCTCTTTCTGTCTTTCTCTTTGTCTTTGTATTTATCTTTCTTTTATCTTCTATTAACCCCAAATATTAGTGTTATTAAGTTTAGCCTTATGCCTGCTATATTAAAATAATTTTCCTTATTTTTTTAGAGATGGAAAATCCTCAAACTCTGTATTAAAATATGAGTTAAGATAATATGATATCAGGAGCTCTGGTGATATACTGTCCTAGATATGAATGGGAAAATACTGTCTTTCTTGACCATCTTGCTGCGATTTAAATAACAAACATGGAAAGACTTATAAGAGATAGAGCAGGCTATCACAAAACCATGAGAGAATCCCACGTAAGATTTTCTCTCCTCCCAAATATGTGTGAAAACTATTTTTAGCAGTTTTTATTGTCAGCTCCCCAAATGTTTACACCCTCTATTTCTGCAAGGCTGTGATTCCTTTTTGACCAAACATTTGTGCAACACACACACACACACACAAACGTGCACACATGCACTCACACACATAGATAACAATAATTTTTGGAAAAGCATTGATGTACTTTGTATTTTGCCATTTAGAACACTTGTTAACAAATCTAGTTCATCTGAAGCAGTTTAGGAATGTTCCTGTTATCTGATATAGCCCTGCTTCTCTTTACAGTAGATGTGCCCACATTGCCTTTGATGTTAAGTGTTGCCATTTGACCTCCAATATTTTAAGATCCCATAATCGCCACTGAAATCAGGAAGTGCATCTCAATGACAGCATTCCCTATGGTTATATCTGGGCTACATGGAATTCACCTGGGGTCTGGGTATACAAAGCACACATGATAAATCCAATAAAACTTCCCTATATCCCCAAGCTTTCTAATTCCTTGCTCCATATTATGCTATGGAACTCTGGGATCTCAGCCTCATTAAATATAGGTCACCACTAAATCAAGTTTCATTTAATCTGCCAATTACAGAGCTATTTCTAGCTGTTCCAGTCATCTCCAGCTGTAAGAGCTAAATTAGGTACACCCGTAAAAATGAATAAAACCCAATTTAGTGTTATATCCTATCCTGTCTGATCCTTAGAATCCACTCTCACACAGGTTTTCCAGCTTTCTGCTGATATATGTAAGCAAAGTCTTGTGATTATTTTGCTGCAGAAGTTTTTTTCTCCCTGGGTCATCGTGTATACTACTATCTCTGGTGAATGTTGAGATGTGACTCCAGCTATGAGCAAATGGCAAAAGGGTGGAAAAAGATTCATGTTCTTGTTATAAAAATGAGCATCCCCATCCAGTAGAGAATCTCTCCTTCAGGGCTGAGATCTATCATTAGGGAGGACAAAGCTGTGGTTTACTGGATGTGGAAAAGCTGCTAATGTGCATTAGGCAGAACTTGCTAGAAATGTGCTCCTGGTCTAAGAGCCAGGTGCTGGAAAAGCTGTACATGCAGCAGAAGTTGTGTGTATTGCAAGAATTTGTTCCTGGAGAAGTCACCCACGCTGAAAGAACCAACTTCTTCTACAGTAACTGTGGTGTACACTGCAGAAGCCTGGCAGGAGGGGCACACTCAAACCAAGGAAGAGAAGCCCTTTACTTCTCTAGAGTCCATACAGAGCCATCTATTGTCAAAGCTTAACATTATGTCATCTGGTGAAGATGTCTTTACAGAGTCTAGCATCATTTGCATAAAGAAGACAATGAATGGTAGATTTGGAGATGAGAGGCAATATAGTATATATATATATACACACACGCACATATATATAATGTGTATGTGATGCCTATACTACATATGTATTACACACATATTGTACTATGTAATATATAATAAAATACATACAATATGATAATCTTTAAATAGATTCAGAAACAGTTTTTGGTTATTACCCCTACTTTCCTAATAACTAGTGATTGTGTGCTCAGGAAGAAAGAAAAACTAGTTATGGGGGAAAAATACGTTTTCTATTCACATCCAAGTTGTAGTTTGAAAAAAAGATGGGAAAATGTGACTTGTTACTTAAATGTATTACATATGCTAACCTCAACTTAATAGCTAGATTGAACAAGGGGGTTATATTTTATTTTATCAACTCACGTTACATATTTTAATATGGACTCAGGAAAGCATTTTATTTGCATTGTTTATTGTGTCCCAGATCATCTTCCCCAGCATGTTATTTATGCTGAGTCACTCTTGAATATGTTTGAAATGAGCAGGCCTATACTTTTAGAAATTTTAGAGTAACATGTCACTTATTTTGGGGTCCACAATTCCCTTCTATCTTTATAGGCATACAATAGTCAGATAGATTATATTTTTTCTTTTCTTTATATGCATATGACAGAATGAGTCTCAATTTGTTTTAATATTCTCATTTTGCAGTTCTTGATTAGAGCAATTCACCATGAACCATCTTTATGGAACTTTGAAAAATATGTTGTAACTGAGCATGGTATCAATATAACCTACCCTCATGTGACAGTTTTTGGCCTTCCTCTTAAAAATGTACCAGCTTTTTTCCTGTATAGATTCTCTATAGATGTAACTTTGTGAAATTAATAAACAAATTAATTTATCTCTATGCATAGGCATCTTATTTTATTTGATGTTGTCTTTTATTCATTTTCTTCTTCCTTTAATTTCTGTCCACTTTCTTCTTGAGGCTACCCTGAGGCCTTAATTTTAATATTTATTGTTGTCAATTTCAATGAAAATTTTTTTCCTCAGAATTCTAAGTTTTGTTTTAGCTATTTCATGGAGTTTCTAGAGAACACTGCTTCAGCAATCCCTTTGTGACACAGCTTGGCACTTTTAATGATGCCACTGTCACACTTGATTAAACTGTTCCTCTCCTGTCCTTATATTGCAGAGGGTATCAGAAATACTGACAAGCTGACTTCCAATTTGTCCCAGCTAATAAGTAACATCATTAGACCTCAGAATAAGTGCTTTGTATCGTGTATTTGAAGTATGCTCCAAAGAGAATACTATTGATATTTTATGCAGTTTTTACTGCATGTAAACTTTAAAATTATTATAATAATCCCCATTTATAACAACATCCATAAAGTCAGCTCTGATTTTCTGAAACAAAGACATCTTAAAAGTTCACTAGCGTAATACAACCCCTCTCCTTTTCATTAATATTTTGTGCTTCCAAGTAAATCTTACTACACATTGATCTTTTAATTGCCCCCACAGCAAAAAAAAAAAAAAAAAAAAAAAAAAAAAAAACTCAGAAACAATAAAATGACAAACTCAAACTAGCTAATGGATTTGGAAAAGGAATAGAAAATAACAAAGATTTAGCATAATGGATAATTTTACTTTTCTAAATGAAAATCAGAGATACTTAAAATTCCTTGCTCTAGTTAGATGGTTCTTTTATTACAAAATTTTTAACGATATCTTTGAAACCTTATGAATAATTACACATGTTGTTGTAGTGCACATACGTGCTGCCTTGGAATCACATTATAGATGCATAGTTGGGTGATACTGCATATGACTTTGCAGGTTTTCAATATAAAATTTTTATAAATAAGTGTAATAGTGTAAACTGGGCAATAGGTTAAGGAAAATTGATATGTTTCCGGGTTTAAGTGCTTATTAAATTATTAAAAATAATTTTCTAGGGTTTTTATTTTAAAAATACTATCGTAAAAAGAAAAGTATTATTTCCCAAAGCAAAATCTAAAAATATGCTGGAATTTATGATTAATTCAAATGGATAGTAGTATAAATGTACTGGATACAAACTTTTTCCCAAAGAAATCTCACCAGACATAAAAATTTTAAAAATATGAAAAATAAAGAGCATAAATTGATGGTGTACAGTTTTTAAAGTATTGAACTGCATCTTTCTTTTTAGTTTTCAAGGCTCAGTTACATTTTGTAGAAAAGAATTCAATCCAAGACAGGTAAGTGAAAGATAGTTATATTTAGTAAAATACCAAGAAGTATAATAGATACCTGTCATGTTATATATTGGTTTGGTTAATTCTTATAACTCTATTAAATTAAAATGAGAATCAGATAATTTAATTTGTGTTCAAATCTTATGTTACTGAATATAAGAGGGTAGGTTGAGTTGAACTGAAGCCAATTTAAATGATCCGTGTGTGCTGTCCATTATACACTTGTTACAATTTGAGGCAAAATATTTTTTAAAAAGCAACGGTGGTAATATTTGATACCTTTTTTTTTTTTTTTTTTTTTTGAGACAGAGTCTCACTCTGTCACCCAGAGTGGAGTGCAGTGGCGCCATTTCAGCTCACTGCAACCTCCACCCCCCAGGTTCAAGCGATTCTCTTGCCTCAGCCTCCTGAGTAGCTGGGACTACAGGCGCATGCCACCACACCCGGCTAATTTGTGTACTTTTAGTAGAGACGGGGTTTCGCCATGTTGGCCAGGCTGGTCTCGAAACCCTGACCTCTGGTGATCCGCCCACCTCGGCCTCCCAAAGTGCCAGGATTACAGGTGTGAGCCACTGCACCAGGCACAAAATTTCTTAGTAAGTCTTTCTTAAGTGTATTTAAATATTTATTTGTATTTTTCTTTTTATCCAAAATCTTCCATAGATTTTCACTCTAATCATGAAAGTTAGATAAATCATTTAAAGAAATTTTCAAATAGATTAAAAGAAAGCTATTAACAGCAAAGATAAATCCTTTGAGATGCAAAACAATTAAAAAGATAGCATTTTTTCATATTCAGAACACATCTACTAAGAGATTATCCAAGCAAATAAAAACTAATCTATATAAATGGAAAACTTTATGATTAAAAATGTTTATAAAATAATACAGAAGAGGTAGAAATACAGCTTTGAAACAAGTAAAAAAATTAAAATACCTCTATTGCTTCTAAAAGAATTAATGATAAAATAATTGATCTTTAAACTCATACAAGGAAACATAAAAGAACCTGTTATTTTTTCCATTTAAGTCTACCTTTTTAATTTCATGCCAAATTATTATAGAGAATTTACTTTGCTGAAATTACTAAGGTGGAAAGATCATTTTAAATATTTTCAAAATATCAAAGTTGACTCTATTTAAACATTAAAATACTTAGAGCAACACATTGAAATTCTAGTGCTTTCCATGTATAGGACATATTTCAAATAACAGCAGTAAAACTGTCTGTAATTTAATTCAACAGGCACTTTAAAATGAATCACATCTAATAAATCATCAAACACAATTGGTCATATTTGCACTTAAAATTTGCTACTAAATTCAAATTTTTATTTACGGTGATCTTTATATGTTACTCTTCATCTTTGCGGGTATAAGCAAGATTGCTAAGATACTCCAAATGCTCCTGTGTTTGTCTGACAGTTAGCTTCTGGGAATGAAATTTTTGCATGAAACCCCTGGAAAGGTCTTCACTCAAACTCATATTCCCAAGAGAACCAACAGTGTTCTCTGCAAAGCCAAAGGGATTCCAAATTTCCCTAGGACCTCAAGATCCCAGATGTTGCACAGCTGCCTTTACCCAGATCTCTCTAAAATAGATTACATCTAATCTCAGACATTTTGGCATCTCCACACACACTGCTTTTTACCCACTATTAAGTCTTCAGTCAATTTTACTGTATTCACTAGAAAAAGAACAAGGGGAAAGTGGATTCCCATGCAGCAAAACCATGATACACCCAGCTTGCTGTAGTCTAAGCATGAATGCCTCTCACAGAGGCTAAGTGATCTGAAACCTTCCTCCTCGTATTTCTTTGTGTGATTACGTCATTCTCCTTAACCTATCTATTTACCACAATCTATATGTTGTAATTAATACCACAATCAAATTTGTTGTAATTTTTCAAATAACTGTTTTTTGCCTTAAACTCTATTTAATTACTAATATACTCAAAATTACAAAAGTAAAAGTTGAATTATTAGATAAATTAATTCAATAAAAATATCTATATTTACAAGTCAAGTCACATATGTATTTATGAATGGAGGTAAATTTCAATTATGTTGAACTTACTTAATTCCTTTACTTTATGTGCAAAGCATTTGATATTTAATTTTGTATTAACTGGAAATTTCTTTGATCAAACATAATTGCAGGCTCTCTAAAGAATTTCATGTAGTTTAATGAACTACATTTGTATTCTATTTGCAAATTAAAAGTTCCTTTATTCAAGGGATAAAATATTCTTACTGAAGTTGCATCAAGCTTTTCAAAAAAATTTAAACAAAAATGTTTTCAATGCCATAAACATGAAAATTATTATTAATGAGTGGAAAGTTGATTCTGTCACTGGAGAACAACTATCTGGGATATAGATAACTTATATCTTGAGTCTTAAATAATATAATATCCAGAAAATATGTTGATAGTAACTGTTACAGCAATAATAAGGAAAAATGTTCAAGCCACTACCTTCATATGAGTTTATATATCAAACATTATTTGAAAACAAGAATGACACTATGGAAATAAGTGTAAACTGATAATAAAGCATCAAGATGTAAAATGGCTTTTATATAAGGTTCAGTTCTACAGCTATCACAAGATACAAAAGAGAACTTATCATTTGAATAGAAAAATTTCAAAAAGGAAAGCAAAAGAAAATCAAAATTAAAAGAGAAAATAACTTAATGGGCCAATATGTTTTATATTTATCTATCAGTAAATTATTATCTTCATATTATAGCAGTCTAGGGAAATAATAATATCACAAGACCACTAACTGAACAACATTTATCAGTTGTACATATTTGACAAATTATAAAAACTATAGCCTTTTACTCCTCTTAGTATCTATAAAGTGACTTGGGGAACTCGCAGTAATTTTGCACAGGTACGTGAAAATGCAAGGACCCACAGTTTTCTCTTTTTCTCCTACAGCTGGCTTACAGAGCAAAATGATTGATGCTGAATTATTTCTTTGTGCCCTCTACTTATTGGTTCTATGCTATCACAATTATTTCATTAAAGTTGAAAAAAATAGATGGCATGTTATTTTCAGTTTAGTTTAATATTAAACAGATTTAAGAAGCTCTTTAAAAATAGGGACCAGGCCTTACTCATCTTTGGGTTTCTCTCTGACATTATTTTAAAGTTAATCAAGTCATCCTCTACTCCTTTGATTTTCAGGACTGTTTATAGAGATACCTGAAATTTGTAACATGGAATTAGATGTATATGCTGTATTTTTATGAACATTTTTAATCACAGAAAAGGAAGAAAATTATTGGGCAGGATAATTAGCCTGTGTGTAATATAAAGATAGTAATATTTTGAGGGAAGTGGGGAATCTTCTTGCCTTAGTAAGAAATAATAGCAAACAAAGGTAAGTGAAAAAAGCAGGAATACTGAAGAAACACAAAAGCATTAAAATGTGATTTTGCAACTAAACAGGTTCACTATTATGTAACATCAGTTATTTCTAAACAACAAGAATATTCAGAAGATATTACTATTAAAATCAATGTATTAGTCATCAAAAAGTAATAGAATGATATAATTTGCATAAATCTATGAGGTGTACCATGCAGTATAATATTGACTATCCTTCCTAATCTTGGAGTTATTGAGGCTTGAGAGCTATAAAAGTAAATAGCTGGAAACAAGGAATGTAACTTATTTAACCTGACAGAGAACCAGCTGGCTGTAACTTTTCTGTTCAGTTTAGTGCATTCATTGTTAAGAGATGCATTGTGATATGTAATTAAAACATCTGGAAATCATACCAATGTGAGGTACTAGAACTTTTATGAATCAACATCTTTTCTTT